>NT_187664.1:0-157099 GCF_000001405.40 Homo sapiens
AGGTGTGAGCCACCACGCCTGGCCAATTAACTCGATTTTTTTTTTTTTTTGAGATGGTGTCTCGCTCTGCCACCCAGGCTGGAGTGCAGTGGCGCAATCTCGGCTCACTGCAAGCTCCGCCTCCCAGGTTCAAGTGATTCTCCTGCCTCAGCTCCTGAGTAGCTGGGACTACAGGCACCCGCCACCACGCCCGGCTAATTTTTTCTATTTTTAGTAGAGACGGGGTTTCACCGTGTTCGCCAGGATAGTCTCGATCTCCTGACCTCGTGATCTGCCTGCCTCGGCCTCCCAAAGTGCTGGGATTACAGCCGTGAGCCACCGTGCCTGGCCAATTAACTCGATTTTTAATAGCTATTCAGGCTGGGCACAGTGGCTCATGCCTGTAATCCCAGCACTTTGGGAGGCTGAGGCAGGCGGATCACCTGAGGTCAGAAGTTCCTGACCAGCCTGGCCAACACGACAAAAGCCCTTCTCTGCTAAAAATACAAAAATTAGCCGGGTGTGGTGGCGCGTGCCTGCCACTTGGGAGGCTGAGGCGGGAGAATCGCTTGAACCCGGGAGGCAGAGGTTGCAGTGAGCCGAGATCATGCCATTGCACTCCAGCCTGGGCGACAGAGTGAGACTCCGTCTCAAGAAAAAAAAAAAAGAAAAAGAAATAGCTGTTCAACAAGACAGTAAGTATTGTAATTTACTTAACCCTTCCATGATTGTTAACATTCAGAGGATTTCCAGGGTCTCACTAGGATATACAGCTGTAAGGAATCTCTTCAGGAGGGCAAGGTAAAATGAGGTAAGCATCTTAACAGTTTTGTCCTAACCTACAGGATGTACATTTCATCTGCATTTATGACTAATTCAGATCATATTCTCACTTCTAAACTGACATTAATTCCCCTTCCCTTCTTAAATCAAGTCCTCCCTTAGGGCTCACTGAATCTTTGAAAAGTTTGCCTTTCATAATTTCTACTATCTATTTATTTAATTAACATTCCCATAGCAACCCTTTGACTTTTCTTAAGCAACTTGCTTACATGAACCTGCAACCAAATGAATTATAAATTTTCTCAGTGGCCTCATAAAGAAGAAAATAAGGAACATTAGCTGGGTGCAGTGGCTCACACCTGTAATCCCAACACTTTGCCAGGTGGAGGCGGGTGGATCACCTGAGGTCAGGAGTTCAAGACCTTCCTGACCAACATGGTGAAACCTCGTTTCTACCAAGAACACAAAAATTAGCCAGGCGTGGTGGCGCGTGCCTGTAATCCCAGCTACTCAGGAGGCTGAGGCAGGAGAATCACTTGAACCCGGGAGGTGGAGCTGCAGTGAGCCGAGATCGCGCCACTGCACTCCAGCCTGGGCAACAAAGTGAGATTCTGTCTCAAGAAAAGAAGAAAAGAAGGAACATTCAGGAAAACGGGGGAGAGTTGTGTGTAATAGTAGGTGAGAAGACTTTTGACATCATATTTGTACACTTTTCTCAAAGCAATAGATACATTCCTGAGACACTGCAGGTGAATTTTCCTAAGCAGAGGCAATCACAGGTTGAACACCTCTTAGGAGCTCACAATCTGAAACAACTAGGCATATTGCCTAACAAAACGAAGGTCCTTCTGTGATAAAAAGAGGATTCCCAGCCGGGCACGGTGACTCACGCCTGTAATCCCAAGACTTTGGGAGGTGGAAGCAGGTGGATCACTTGAGTCCAGGAGTTCGAGACCAGCCTGGACAACACGGTAAAACCCCGTCTCTACCAAAAATACAAAAATTAGCCAGTCTCATAACCCCATCTCAAAATAAATAAATAAATATTAGATTTTAAAAATGTGAATTGTCCCTGAATTTATCTATTTCATAACTTTGGATTTAAGGTGAGGTGGGTTTTTAAAAATACAGCAACCTTCAGTAAGTAAAAAAATCTATATTAAATACAAGTTGCCTAATACTAGTCCCCCACAAAAGCCACAGCATAATAGAAGTGCCCGGCACGGAGAAGGCTTTTGTCCCCATATACATCTGAATGCGCTTGGAAGCGGAGACTGATGGCCTCAGAGAATGAGCCTCTCAGCTTATCCAAACGGCAGAGCCCAGCGGCGGGAGTTTCACAGACACCATCTTCTCACTGCTTTCCATCAGTCCTAGAGGGGCCCCTCTCTAAGGACGGGGAAGCGGCTTTCAAAGGCCTCCTTTCGCCTGTTGTACACAGGGAGCACATCAGCCTGAGACATTTCCCATCTAAGGAGAGCGGTGGTTTGAGGGATTCTGTTCCTTGTCTCTAACTGTGTTGGGTTCATTATCAAGGCAGAAATCATACAAGGTTATCAGACAGGCACACACTGACACTTTTAGCCTCTACCCACCTGAGACAGAAAAAGCAGCACCTGTCAGGTTAGCCGAGGATATAACCAAGACCCATTTAAAAGGCTTGATTTAAAAAAAAAAAAAGGTATAGGTACTGGGACGGACACACACACACACACACACACACACCCCTTTCATTTTATTTGAAATTTTTTTTTTAACATACTGCCCTTCCAGAAAATAACAGTTAATTTAAAATGCTATATCCGGGCTAGGCGCAGTGGCTCACGTATGTAATCCCAGCACATTGGGAGGCCAAGGCAGGTGGATCGCTTGAGGCCAGGAGTTCGAGACCAGCTTGGGCAAAATAGTGAAACCCTCCTCTACAAAAAATAAAAACATCAGTCCGGTGTGGTGGGACACACCTGCAGTTCCCACTACTCAGGGGGCTGAGGTGGGAGGATCGCTTGAAACCAGGTGGCGGAGGTTGCAGTGAGCCAAGATCGCACCACTGCACTCCACCCTGGGTGACAGAACAAGACTCTGTCTCAGGGAAAAAAGGACAAAAAGGAAATTTTTTTTTTTAAAATGCTAAATTGATTTGCGCAAAAAACCATTTAAGCATATGTATTTTCATATGCAGTATATGCCTATTCTTTTTCTGGAAAAACATACCAGACACTACTAACAGTGATGTTATCTTTGGAAAGAGGATTATTGTTACAGTTAATAAATAAAATGCTGGGCCGGGCGCGGTGGCTCACGCCTGTCATCCCAGCACTTTGGGAGGCCGAGGAGGGCAGATCACGAGGTCAGGAGATCGAGACCATCGTGGCTAACGTGGTGAAACCCCGTCTCTACTAAAAATACAAAAAATCAGCCGGGCGTGGTGGCGGGCGCCTGTAATCCCAGCACTTTGGGAGGCTGAGGCAGGAGAATGGCGTGAACCCGGGAGGCGGAGCTTGCAGTGAGCCGAGATCGCGCCACTGCACTCCAGCCTGGGCGACAGAGCAAGACTCCGTCTCAAAAACAAAAACAAAAAATGCTGGCTCTCTCTTGCAGATGGAAAACAGTGAACACAGAGAAACATGGCGTATGAAGTCATGCTGAGCAGAGGAATATAAATGGCTTTCTAATGTAAACAGTCAGCAGGAAAGCCATAATTTGTGCTGCATGTACAGAGACAGATAAATCCCTGTCTCCTCATGAACACACACCGTGTTTTGTTGTAAGGATCTCTATTTGCCTGAACTGTTGGCTCAGGGGCAGAACAGATCCAGAGGATCTCAGAAAAAATGTCACTAATTTCTTCACAAGAAAGAAGGGCTTCAAAAAGCGCTTCAGAACTAGAGTGTTCCACCCCAGTCTCTGCAAATTAATACTTTCCGCAAATCCAAATGAAAGAGAATATGTTCACGTGGTATTAAGTAGCATTTTATTCTTAAGAACATTTGTAAAAAGCTTAAAGCAACGCATCCAAGGGTTGAAGCCGGGACTTTCTGCAAATTTAGGAAACTGATTTCCCCCCAGGAAAATGTCTGAAGGCATTTACTTCCAATTCACCCTCACGCCTACATCTGAAATGTCAGAATCCTTAGGTGCCAAACTGCAATGTATATTACAGATTTGTGTGTAACTTTAGGTGGTCAAAGACACTTGTGTAAGAAAAGAAACCTATTTCAAAGTAAGGTAAAATTCATGAAATAAATGGACTGAGTCACCCTAAAATATTAAGAAAAACATCTATCAGCACAAGGACAGTGGGCTGCTTTGCAGCTAGTGACTGTCTATGGATAATTTTGAAACAAAATGCCACACTTAATTAGCCAGCGGGCTTCGCATCCTGTGTGTGACGGAGAGAATGGTATTAAGAAAAAGACTCCCTCAGGCTCCATTAATGCCCTAATGAGAGGAGGCGGGGAGAGGGGTGTTGGGTAGAGGGCAGGGCAGTCAGGATTACCACATGGCCCTCAGGAAGTACAAGCTCTGCGCCTTCTGGACAAATGGGGGACTCTCAACCGCACACTGACTATTGGGCGTATCTAGCCAGCTATTTCCACAGGGTCCTCTGCAGGAAACAATTGTACCCACACTCCACACATGCCCAGCAGATAAAGCAGTTCTCAGATTACATCCAAGAGGGAGAACGTGGGCCTTAAGCTCACTTAACCGTCATCCGTGATTTCGTGACCAGCAACCCACCGACGGAGGGAGTCTCGATTTTCAAAAAGACAAAAGTGGGAGATTCTCCAGATGGCAGAGAGCTGGACTCGACATCAACCCTTCAACAGACCTTCCGGCTTACTTTAGTTATCACACACACTTAGGAAAAGAAGGGATCTGTTAGAAGCAAGCATGCATTCACCAAACACACGTCATTTCAGACTATCTTTCCTTGAAAACTATCAATAGGAACTATCTAAGTGATAGCAAGCTGTCTGTGAGGGCCTCCTACAATAAACATGCTGATCACACCGAGGAGTGTGGGCTGAATCATAATCCAATCAGGGCAAGTTTGGAATCGGCTGGATTTGAAGACGGCTGAGCAACTGACTAACAGACTCCTCCTAGCCTGGAGAAGGTGTCTAGCGGCATAACCCCCCAACTCTATCCCCAGACTCAGGCTAATCAACATTTTTATCAACTGCTTGTATAAACAACAGTCTAGCAGGGACCACATAACACAGAGCTAAGAAGGGGCTTTGATGACTGTAGGTGATCACATCAGCCTGTAGTCCCAGCTACTCGGGAGGCCGAGGCAGGAGAATGGTGTGACTTCAACAGACAGGGCACAGTGACTCACACCTATAATCCCAGCACTTTGGGAGGCCGAGGTGGGGAAAACATGAAGTCAGGAGTTCGAGACCAGCCTGACCAACATGGTGGAACCCTGTCTCTACTAAAAATACAAACAATTAGCTGGGTGTGGTGGCGGGCACCTGTAGTCCCAGCTACTCGAGAGGCTGAGGCAAGAGAATCACTTGAACCTGGGAGGCAGAGGTTGCAGTGAGCTGAGATGGCACCACTGCACTCCAGCTTGGGCAACAGGAGCAAAATTCTGTCTCAAAAAAAAAAAAAAGAAAAGAAAAGTGAATGCAATGAGATCTCGCGACATGGTAACAGAAGTCTACATAACATCTACAACAAGCTTGTCCAACCCACAGCACGCGGACACATGTGGCCCAGGACAGCTTTGAATGGGGCCCAACACAAATTTGTAAACTTTCTTAAAACATTATGAGATTTTTTTGCTATTTGCTTTTTTTTTAGCTCATCAGCTATCACTAGTGTTGTCAGCATTTTTTTTTCTTTTGAGATGGAGTTTCGCTCTTGTTACCCAGGCCGGAGCGCAGTGGCACGAATTTGGCTCACCGCAACCTCCGCTTCCAGGGTTCAAATGATTCTCCTGCCTCAGCCTCCCGAGTAGTTGGGATTGCAGGCATGCGCCACCACGCCCGGCTAATTTTGTATTTTTAGTAGAGACGGGGTTTCTCCATGTTGGTCAGGCTGGTCTCAAACTCCTGACCTCAGGGGATCCGTCGACTTCAGCCTCCCAAAGTGCTGGGAATACAGACATGAGCCACCACGCCCGGCTGGTGTTCGCATATTTTATGTGTGGCCCAAGACAATTCTTCTTCCAACGTGGCCCAGGGAGGCCAAAAAATTGGGCAACAAAGGAGGTAGGGCAGCCAGCTGCCCTCTGTGCCTGGACAGACCACACTGGAGTCTGCATTCAGGTGGGGGGATGACTGTTGGGGGGGTGGGGCAGACAATCTTGGAGGGTGCTTGGATCTGAATGGCCTGGGTGGGGGGGAAGGGTGAACCCACATCACAGGAGAAATGCTCCAAGGACCAGGGGACTCTCCCTGGGGAGAGAGAAGAGTTGTCTGCAGTTCTTCACGGCCCAGCGGTCCCCTGGGAGAGGACGGCTGAGGTCAGAATGGACTTCCTCAGGAGATGGTGTGTTGGGGTCACTGGAAACACCCCACACAGAGACGGTGACCGTAGGGGCCACTCTCCCTCAGTAATACACCCTGATTTTTCTTGACAAGCCCCCCCACAGCCCCCAGGCCTGAGGCTCAGTCCACCTGGCTTGGGACCCCAGCCTCCAGCTACACAGGTGTGGACACAACTCAGGCTTGGCCCTTTGGTATTTACACATCCCGGCCACAGTGACCAGTTATGGGATCAAGGGCGACCATGCCGGACTCCTGCTGCTGGGAGTCTGGGAGGACAGGAAGCAGGCTCAGAACTGCCGATGGTCCTCAGGCCACTAGGAGATGAGGAACAGCCTGCCAGAGGCCAGGGCGCAGAGACAGGCGGGGCGGGGAGATGGGCAAGGACCTGCCCCAGGACGGCATCTGTGCCACCCGGGCCTAAAGCTGACCTATATCTGGACCTCTCACCCACAGGAAACTCAGACCCTTCTGAACCCAGGAGTTGATATTCTACACACCTAGATAAGGCAGAAAACAGGGCTCAGAAAAGTTCAGGAATGTGGCAAGGAGGCAGACCCAGGGACAGGACCAAGTTAAATGGATAAGAACAACAAATAAATTGCAAGGAAAAGCAGGGAAGGGAAACTATAGGTTAAAAGAGGCTTAAGGGATACAGCTACCAAATGTAATGGGCAAATTTTATTTGGATTCAAACAAACCAACTGTCATCCCAGCACTTTGGGAGGCCGAGGCAGGTGGATCACGAGGTCAGGAGATCAAGACCATCCTGGCTAATATGGTGAAACCCCATCTCTACTAAAAATACCAAAAAATTAGCCAGGCATGGTGGCGGGCACCTGTAGTCCCAGCTACTTGGGAGGCTGAGGCAGGAGAATGGTGTGAACCCAGGAGGCGGAGCTTGCAGCAAGCTGAGATCGCGCCACTGTACTCTAGCCCAGGCGACAGAGCGAGACTCCGTCTCAAAAAAAAAAAAAAATTAGGAGACAATCAGGAAAATGTGAATACTAACTGGATATTTGCTGAAACTAAAGAACTGATGGATTTCTTGGGTGTGATATTGTGGTTATGTTTTTTAAGGGTTACTTAGTGAAATGCTTATGAAGGAAATGAGATGACGGCTGGGACTATCTTCAAGATCATTGAGGAGGTGGGGGTGGGGGCAGTAGGTGTCCTTGAGTTGATGACTGTTGAATGTGGGTGGATATGTGGGGATTCACTGAACTGCTTTCTCTACCTGCATGATATTTAAAGTTTCCCAAAATAAATAATATTAAGAGACATATGCACAGACCAGTATCTCCCCCTGGCCTCTCCCAGCTCAAAAGAGGGTGCGGGATCCATTCAGTAAAACCGAGCACCTGATTAGTCAAAGAGATGATCTAGAATTACACCCATATGCAAAGATACACAGATGCAGCCCGGCGTGGTGGTGCACACCTGCATTCCCAGCTACTCGGGAGGCTGAGGTGGGAGGACTGCCTGGGCCCAGGTCAAAGCTGCAGTGAGCCCTGACTGTGCCACTGCACTCTAGCCTGGGCAACACAGCAAGAGCTCTCTCACACAAACAAGCAAACAATCAAAGACACAGATGTCATCAAATCAACAACTGACAGACAATTATTGTCCTAGAAGGAAAATGAAGAGAGGCCAGGCATGGTGGCTCACGCCTGTAATCCCAGCACTCTGAGAGGCTGAGGCAGGCGGATCGCTTGAGGTCAGGAGTTCAAGACCAGCCTCGTCAAGATAGTGAAACCCTGTCTTTATTAAAAAGACAAAATGAGCCAGGCGTGGTGGCGGGCACCTGTAATCCCAGCTACTCAGGAGGCTGAGGCAGGAGTATCGCTTGAACCTAAGAGGCAGAGGTCACAGTGAGCTGAGATCGTACCACTGCACTCCAGCCTGGGAGACAGAGAGAGACACGGTCTCAAAAAAAAGAAAGAAAGAAAGAAAAAGAAAAGAAAAGAAAGAAAAGAAGCAAAAAAATGAAGAGAAACCAGGTTCTGTGATAGTCTCTAGATACAAATAAATAACTAGGTGCTTTGGAATGGGGGAGGGGTACAAAGAGGTAAAAAGGCTGAATTCCTCTCTCTTATAATCCAAATAACCATAAAATGTGGAATGAATACCGAAGCGCCTGGTAAACATTTAAACGGCACGTGCTATGCACCAGGCACCATCCTAAGTACTTGTCAAATATTATGTCATTCAATCCTTAACAACCACCCTAAGAGGCTGGTACCATCATCTCCATTTTACTCACCAGGAAACTAGAGACACAGAAATTCCAGAACTGGCCCCAAAGTCACACCCCCGGGAAACAGCCAAGTTTCCAACCCGGGAAACCTGGATCTGGATTTCCAGTCTATATTCTTCGTCTACTATGGAACACACTTTAAATATTCACATACCATAATGGAGTATTTTTGAAAGATCACGGGTAAAAACAATTTTTACAATTGCAGTCAAGAACATGCCCAGAGCTGGAAAACGCTGCACTCACAGCTACATTCACGCCTATTCGGGGCTCCGGCGGTCACACTGCGATTTTTCCCTATTGCACGTGGTCCCGCCCAATCTTCAGATTTCACATCAAAACCTGAAAAATGAGTAACAGATGAGGCAGCTGTGCTGTGAGCCACCACGATCAAAAGAAAACCGTCTTGACCTGATCACGTTTAACGGGAGGAAAAGCAGCGCCTTCTGATTTTAAACAGATTAAATCCATCCAGATTTTTATCCCAGGCATATTGACCAAAAAAAGACAAATTAAAAAAAAATGTGGAACTGATGCATCTGGATGAAATTCTCCCAGGAAAACAAAGAGAAAGCCCTATCCCTAGGACAGCAGAACTCACCACACCCTGTTTGGTGACTGTTCGACAACGATATGAGATAAAACCGTCATTCACTGTAGAAACAGCACTTGAATTTACCTGTAATTGGTGCCTGTACTGAGACACCCTGGGGAGCAGGGGGAGAGGCTGACGGATTGGACAGAAGGAAGCGACGAAGTGAAGCTTACGTTGTTTTTTTAAAAGGACTTTCTGATGTAGTTCATACAAAAATACACTGTGTATCTGGTCCAAGAGTTATGACCGGCAAGCCGCAGAAAATTTACGTTTGCTTTTAATCACGGAGGCCACAGAACAAAACTTTCCATGACGGGTCTCACTCCCGAGTAACGGCACTGGGCTTCTGCCTCGTCGTGGTGCAGAAAGCACAGGTTTGAGATTTCACTGGAAGTTGGAACGGCAGTTTCTGCAAACCTCATAAAAGGGAGGACTGATTTAGTCCTAGGATCTCGGCAGGACACCTGAAGTTCAATTTTGTCTCTGAACAAAAAGCACTACAGCAGCCTGCAGGCTTTCCGTAGGATGAAGGGGGAGTTGGGGGGCCCTTCACTGGAGGAACTAAAAAAAAGCCAAATCATTAAAAAGGCCCTTAGAAAAAAAAACACCACCATGGAAAAAGGCAGCAAGAGAGAAGAGGTTCTCGCTCTCCTGCCTTCCAAGCAACCAGCGAATGTTTCAAGCCGTTCAACTACCTCTGTCTTATCTCAGAGCGGTCCCTGCACACCTAGAGGAAGAAAGCCACCTGAAGAGGCTTGCTGCTCCTCCTCCTCCATGCGGAACGTTTGATGTGAGTATTTTTTAAGGTACAATTCCGTGAACAGAAAGGACCAAGTTGAATTTAAGGGAGTTCAGCCAAGCTCTTTCATCCAACACTGTGACCCTGATCTAATAATCGGTGCTCTTTGCTTCAATTCTCCAGCTCTAACATACTTGGAAAAGTTAAAACGGTGAATATCTACTGATTACTAGTTGCTGGAAGACGTAATATGTACGCATTTTGAGTTCTTTGGAAGAAAGATGCTAGAGAAATGCAAACAATGAAATATTAAAGCATGGCATGACAGGTCTGCAGATATGAGACTCTTTTTTTTTTTTTTTTTTGACACGGAGTTTCACTCTTATTCCCCAGGCTGGAGTACAGTGGTGCGATCTCGGCTCAATGCAACCTCCGCCTCCAGGGTTCAAGTGATTCTCCTGCCTCAGCCTCCTCAGTAGCTCGGATTACAGGCATGCACCACCACACCCGGCTAATTTTGTATTTTAAGTAGAGACAGGGTTTCTCCACATTGGTCAGGTTGGTCTAGAACTCCCAACCTCAGGTGATCCGCCCACCTCGGCTTCCCACAGTGCTGGGATTACAGGCGTGAGCCACCGCGCGTGGCCGAGTCTCTTTTAATAGACTCAGATATTTGACATTTCAAAAATGGAGAGTCAAGCTTTTTCCTATTTTTGAGCACAGAATCACACGGCAATCCAGTTGCACAAGAAGCTGCTGGGACTCACCCAGCTGTGACATCCATTTGCTCATTTAGTCCTCTTTAAAACACTCATTGAGAAACAAAAACAGACCGAGCGCGGTGGCTCACGCCTGTCATCCCAGCACTTTGGGAGGCCGAGGCAGGTGGATCATGAGGTCAGGAGTTCAAGACCATCCTGGCTAACACGGTGAAACCCCGTCTCTACTAAAAACACAAAAAATTAGCCGGGCGTGAGGGCGGGCACCTGTGGTCCCAGCTCCTCGGGAGGCTGCGGCAGGAGAATGGCGTGAACCGGGAAGGCGGAGCTGGCAGTCAGCCGAGATCGCGCCACTGCACTCCAGCCTGGGTGACAGAGCGAGACTCCATCTCAAAAAAAAAAAAGAAAGTCAGGATTCACAAAGATTCCAAATTCATAGCGATTTTCCTTGATTGTCTTGGAATACGCATAAACGGTAAATTCAATGCAACACAGAAAACTAAGCACCTTGGTGGTTCACACCATGCACCACTGGGAATTCAGATCATGAAGAAAGAAAACACATCCTGGCCGGGCGCCGCAGCTCACGCTGTGATCCCAGCACTTTGGAAGCCGAGGCGGGTGGATCACCTGAGGTCAGGAGTTCAAGACCAGCCTGGCCAACATGGTGAAACCCTGTCTCTATTAAAAATATAAAAATTGGCCAGTCACGGTGGCTCACACCCGTAAGCCCAGCACTTTGGGAGGCCAAGGCAGGCGGACCACCTAAGGTTGGGAGTTGGAGACCAGCCAGACCAACATGGTGAAACCCCATCTCTACTAAAAATACAAAATTAGCCGGGCGTGGTGGCACATGCGCCTATAATCCCAGCTACTCGGGAGGCTGAAGCAGAAGAATTGCTTGAACCCAGAAGGCAGAGGTCACGGTGAGCTGAGATGGTGTCATTGCACTCCAGCCTGGGCAACAAGAACAAAACTCCATCTCAAAAAAAATTTAAAAAATACAAAACTTAGCCAGGCGTGGTGGCTGGCGCCTGTAATCCCAGCTACTCGGGAGGCTGAGGCAGGAGAATCGCTTGAACCCAGGAGGCGGAGGTTGCAGTGAGCCGAGATCGCGCCACTGCTCTCCAGCCTGGCAGAGCGAGACTCCATCTGAAAAAAAAGAAAAAGAAAAAAAGGAAAGAAAACACATCCTATGCCAAGCCTGTGCTCTCCTGGCCAAAATGAAATCATGCAGGAAGGATCCCACCTAGTTCACAACGGGACGAGCTGGAGCCCTGGAACCCTGATCACTGTCAGGAAAAAGGAAGATCCCCAAGGGGTTTGTTCAACCCCGACCCCAGCTGTGCACAAAGCCTGTTTTCTCAAATGTGTGTGCACATTACAACACCTTCCCAACAAAAGGTAGGAATATTTTAAAACGTAGAATCAGGGCCGGGTGCGGTGGCTCACGCCTGTAATCCCAGCACTTTGGGAGGCTGACGCGGGTGGATCACGAGGTCAGGAGATCGAGACCATCATGGCTAACACGGTGAAACCCCGTCTCTACTAATAATACAAAAAATTAGCCAGGGGTGGTGACGGGCCCCTGTAGTCCCAGCTACTCGGGAGGCTGAGGCAGGAGAATGGCAGGAACCCGGGAGGCGGAGATTGCGGTGAGCCCAGATCGCTCCACTGCACTCCAGCCTGGGCGACAGAGCGAGACTGCGTCTCAAAAAAAAAAAAAAAAAGGTAGAATCAAATCAGTGACCCTAACTTCCAGGGCTTGCCTCTGTGCTCTAGCTCACATTCCAACCCGTGTCAGAAGACAAATCGATCAGCAAGAGCTGTGGACGGCTACTCAGAGGCAGGCCTGAGCTGCTAACTGGGAGATGAGTACCAAACCAGCAATGCCTACATGTCTGAGCAAACCCATCCCGCAGCATTCCAGAGCTGGGACGGGAGGCAGGTCCACGCTAGAGGTGGCGTTTCTACAGCTCCAGAGATGAGCACCCTCCATTTCCCACGCGAAACAGCAGTCTTTCAACCTCTACACCGCCCAGAGTTAAGCAAACAGGGTCAGCGGAAGACACACCTAATAGCTTTGGGAAACCACAAAATGATTGCTTTGTGCGTAATTTCTCTCAAGAAGAGTGCCTGATCATCTTTAAGTTACAAGGGTGACTGAAAGGGTAACTTAATAGTAACTTAAATCTTTCCCAGGCTTCGTCGATCAGCAGCAGTCTGGAGCGTCATTGGCAGATAGAAATACAGAGCTCAGTAAGTATCAGTAATATCCCGGGACTTTAAGGCACTGTATTTGTTGTTTCATTCTTCTAGGTCTTTCTTCGCAGTTATAATCTCTTATGGGGCAATTTTTTTTATTTAATTTTTTTTTTCCAAGACGGAGTCTTGCTCTGTCACCCAGGCTGGAGTGCCGTGGCCCGATCTCAGCTCACTGCCAACTCCACCTCTCGGGTTCAAGCGATTCTCCTGCCTCAGCCTCCCGAGTAGCTGGGAGTACAGGTGTGTACCACCACACCTGGTTAATTTTGTATTTTTAGTAGAGATGGGGTTTCACCATGTTGGCCAGGCTGGTCTTGAACTCCTGACCTCAAGTGACCCACCCACCTCGGCCTCCCAAAGTGCTGGGATGACAGGCGTGAGCCACAGTGCCCGGCCATTGTAGGGCAATTTTTTTGACACCTTCATCAAATCCCCTTGTATGCTTGTAAAAGTCATTGGTTTGAAAAGTTTAAAAATATACCTCATGCCGGGCGCGGTGGCTCATGCCTGTAATCCCAGCACTTTGGGAGGCTGAGCTGGGCGGATCACGAGGTCGGGAGATCGAGACCATCCTGGCTAACACAGTGAAACCCCGTCTCTACTAAAAATACAAAAAAAATTAGCCAGGCGTGGTGGTGGGCGCCTGTAGTCCCAGCTACTCAGGAGGCTGAGGCAGGAGCATGGCGTGAACCCGGGAGGCGGAGCTTGCAGTGAGCCGAGATCGCACCACTGCACTCCAGCCTGGGTGACAGAGCGAGACTCCATCTCAAAAAAGTATATAGATATATATATATAGATATATGGATATACCTCATAACCGTTTTACAGTTCAGTAATGTGATAGATTCCCAAGGCTCAAGCTATGAAATGAATGACTAAACTTAATGATCATTTATCTAAACACAATAATAGCATTTATTGAGCACTCACCACATGCCAGGCACGTGTATATTATCTCGCGTAGCCTTTACACAATAAGGCAGGTGCTGTTATCACAAATGGAAAAGGAACGTGTGGTACAGAGATGTACAGCGCCTTGCACAAGGACACACAGCTAATAAACGGCAGAGCGGGGGCGTGAACTCAAGCAGAAGGACAAAAGACTCTATATTTTTAGCCATGTATTAGACTGCCTTATTATGCAGAGAAAAAACAAAGAGATTAAAAAATATATTACAAATGATGGAACAAGAAAAAGCCTCTCAAGGAACATTGCTCTTATTACTTTATTTTTATTTATTTATTTATTTATTTATTTATTTAATACAGGGTCTTGCTGTGTTGTCCTGGCTGGAGTGTAGTGACACAAACATGGCTCACTGCAGCCTCCACCTCCTGGGTTTAAGCAATCCTCCTGCCTCAGCCTCCCGAGTAGCTGGGACCACAGGTACCCACCACTGTGACCAGCTAATTGTTATTTTTTGCAAAGACAATGTTTCACCATGTTGCCCAGGCTGGTCTCAAACTCCTAGGCTCAAGTGATCCCCCCACCTTGGCCTCCCAAAGTGCTGAATTACAGGTGTGAGCCATCACACCCGGCCTGCTCCTAACTGGACTGTTGTCCTTTATTACTAAAAGACTGGCCCAAGTCCTAGAAACACAGTCACCAGTGGGAGCCTGTCCTGGCTGGTCCGGGCTTCTTATGAAGAAGGCAGAAAATCCTAATTTTCAAATCTGCACCTTTTTGCCATCTTTTCCCACCTTGAAAGTGAATGCAAAGAAAAGATACAGTGGTGTCACAGCAACTGTTCTCTTCCTGGCTGCAGTGTTTGGATTCAAGGAAGAGTGGCAGAGCTGGAGTTGTAAGAATGTTGAGGTTGCTACCAAATCCTGTCCCACCCATAGGGCCAAAGGGATTCAAGTAAATTCTCAGCCAAGCTTCTCATTGAGTCTGAACTGAAAGAACCACCCAGAGCAGCCAGAGTGAGACTCCACTTCCCCTGGCTGGAGCAGGCTGACCAGGGATACTGGACCAGGGTCCCCTGACTCTGCAGACTTTCTCTTCCCCTTTGTCATGCAGGAAGTCCTGGGGCCACACCAGAGCCTCACAAAACTGTCCAGAGGAAGCCAGTGGTCTGCACCCTTGGATGTCAGTGCACCCACACTGACCATATGTTTTTGATCAGGCATCCAGCCCAGACAAAGTTGAGCTCTGCGACTTTAACACCAAAAGAGTGCTCACTTCTATGAGGCTGAAGTGGATCCCGGAGACGGACCTCTCCAGTCTTGACGAGTGAGTAACATACTAATCCAAAGGGAAGACCAAATCCCCAAAGTCCAAATTTCACCACCTCCTGACTATCGATCACATTCCTTCTCTCTAGAAATGTGAAAATCATCTACCAACCTACTTATTAAAACAAGTCTAACTGCCTTAACTTCAGGATTATAGATTTGCTGATGAAATTGTTATAAATGCTCTCAAAGTTCTATTACCATCTAATTACAATTTATGCACAGCTATATAATAATGTGTGTTTTGGAAGCTGAAATAATATGTGTTTTGGAAGCCAAAAAAATTAAGCTTCAATTACTTTTGTACCTACCATGACAACAGGCAGAAACAGGACAATTTTGTATAAAGAATGTTTTTTTACATTTTTGTCCTTTTTTTTTTTGGTGTTTTCTCACAGTTCCTGTCAAGGTGAGAGGAACCAGGCAAAATGCAGGCTTAACATATACGGTCATCCCCAGGTTTTTTTTAACTATATAAAGGAGAAATTAATAAAAGAAAAAAAGAAATACCACACAGCATTTTCTTTCCCCACCATAATTTTTCAATTTTCTTTAGAGAAATGCCAGCCAATAACTAATTAGAACCATACCCTTTGTTATCCCAATGGGAAGAAGTATACGCATGGGCTTAAAGAACAAATGTTAATGAGAATTTAAAAAAAATTAGCAATCTGGAACTCTGGTTTCCCTTCAGTGTAAAACAAAATTCCCTTCTCTAGAGTTATTTTTATCATTGGCGAAATGACACGGATAGAGTCCATCCACAAGACGTGTTCACCCATCCAGTGCCCTCAGCTGGGAGAACTCCGGCTCTTCACTTGTTCTGATGGGGAAATTAGCATCATTAGCTCACGGGCTTCTAAGCACCCTAACTTCAAATGAGACAAAAACTCAGTTACAGAAAAGGCATTTGTTCCACATCTCTTTGGTTTCAAGGGGGAAAATAATTCCTTTTTTTTTTTTTTTGAGACAGAGTTTCGCTCTTGTTGCCCAGACTGGGGTGCAATGGTGCGATCTCGGCTCACCGCAACCTCCGCCTCCCAGGTTCAAGCGATTCTCCTGCCTCAGCCTCCCTAGTAGCTGGGACTAGAGGCATGCGCCACCAGGTCTGGCTAATTTTGTATTTTTAGTAGAGACGGGGTTTCTCCATGTTGGTCAGGCTGGTCTGGAACTCCCGACCTCAGGTGATCCGCCCACCTCAGCCTTCCAAAGTGCTGGGATAACAGGCATGAGCCACCGCACCCGGCAATAATTCCTTTTAAAATCAGCACGTAGCTTTTGTAATTTCCAAGAGTATGTGTTCCATAAGAAGGACAGCTGGAGTCTTTTTACCTGGTATATATCCCCGAGAAAGATCTTGAGTGGTTTGTTCACGACCAAGGAAAGAAACTACCTCCTTGAAAACTGGACTGGTTTTAGAGAATAAAGTATAGGATGTGAGTCAGAAAAACTCTGGGCCAAAAAATAAAATGTTTAAGATGCTAACGCACCAGGGTTTGGGCACGTCCAGCACTCTCAACGGTATTTTCAAATGAGAGTCTGCCCTGTGTCATCCAGGTTCTCATCATGGAGGAATCAGCAGGTCCAGGCTAGGGCCGCAGAATACTTTTTGTCATGCAAAGAGCCTGTCCAGGGTATAGAGAGCCAGCCATGGCCCATGTCCTATCAAATATTCTCCTTTTTCGGAAAAAGCTCTAAGCATTTGCAAAACATCTGTTTGCTCCATATTTTTACTATCCAAAAAATGTATTTCCTCTTCAGTAAAAAACACAACAATAGGCTGTTAAGCCTGTAACATTTTACCATAATTCTATGTTTTCAAAAGCTAGAAATCATTTGTATTGCCGGATAAGGACATTATTTTAAGTAGACTTTAGTCTACAACAGAAACTTGCCGTAACAATGAAAATGTTTTTTGGCAAATCCCTTTCTGAACATTATTTCTCCACGAACGTATCACAAAAACCACCACCAAGGAAAACAAAGGATTCTCGTATTTTGAATCAAAAAGTACTGGCCATGCATATTCATACTATATCAAGCATGTCAATCAAAATGGGCAAAATAACCTAAAAAGCAGTAAAAATGCCAACTCTTGCCTCTGAGTGGTTAGTGAACCTATGTTTTCCCAATATGAAATTTACAAACTGCATCGGATCAACTGTATTTCATACTTTAAATCTCGAATCTCTACCTCCCACTGCTTCGGGATGGATGATTTACTCAAGACATTTGGGGTCACAGTGTAAGCCTTTTGCTCCCAGTAAATCTAAATCATGCTTCTCAACAAGATTCTGCACATATAAAAGGAACACGTGGCACGCCTCGCCATGCTCCCCAGAGGAAACTAAACGCCCCCAGAATAGCCCTTCTGTCCACTCCAGAAACAGGCTTTCCTCAAAAAGGGAAAGGGGCTGGATTCACACGTTGCATCATATACACTCACGAAGCAACAGCGCTCCAAAACTTTTTCTGACTCCATTCATTACAAAATGTCCTGGATGTGCTTTATTATCACAGAGACAGACATCCTCACCCAAGGGACACACTCAGAAACCCAAACTCAACTCGGCAGCAAACTGGGAGACACGAGAAGTTGACAGCAAAGTATCCATTTCCCCAAATCCTCCTTCTTCCAGTCAATGTGCATCGATGGGGTCAGCTCAGCCCTTAACTCGAAGACCCCGGGACCACAGGGGCCACCACGCAGCTGAGCTCTGCACAGCCCGGGCTGTTCCCGCGCCCGGGAGGCGTCTGGGGAGGAGGCTGGACGGCCAGACAATGCAAAGCTCCCCGGTGGCCGCGAACTCAGCCTGGGGCGGGGGAGGCGGGGGCGGGAGACGGAGCCGTGAGCGCCCTTCTCGGCCACAGCCACGGCCACGGTCACCGGCCGCCTCTCCTGACCTCGGCCTCGGCCCCCAGGTCCCCGGTCCCCGGGGAAGGGGCTCCGGGAAGGCAGGTTTCTCCCGGAAAGAAAGGAAACGCGCTGGTTTGGGCGCCACGGGCGGGGGGCGTGCGCCCTCCCCTCCCCTCCCCTCCCCACTGTGGGAATCCGCGGGGGTCGGCGGCGGAGGCAGGAAGGGCCTGGCGCCTCTGCTCGCGGGTGAAGGGGTCGCGGAACCGGGATCCCCGAGCGCAGCCGCCCCCACCCGAGGCTCCCAGCGTGTGCGGACGGAGGGGCTCGAGCCGGGATCCCGGGGGCCGAGGGGGGTCCAACTTTCCAGGGCGGGCGCAGCGCAGCACTCGAACCAAAGAGGGGTCCTGGGATGAGGGTGCGGGCACAGCGCGGAAGGGGGGGGGGCAGAGGCGGGGACGGCGGGGTGGGGGGCGGGGAGAGGACAGTGGGTCGGGGGGCGGGGGACTGGGGGCAGGGGTCGGGGGGTGGAGGGCGGGCAGGGGGACAACGGGGTTGGCGGAGGGCAGGGGTAACGGGCGTGGGGGGCGGGCAGGGGTAACGGGCGTGGGGGGCGGGCAGGGGCCGGCGAGGCCCGCGCCGCTCACCTTCCTGTGCTTCTCCTTGTAGGGCAGCGCCAGCCACGGCATGTCCCGCACGAAGTCCTGCCACTGCCGCTGGTCCTGGTCCGAGGACACGAAGACGATCTCCAGGCGCCGCCGCGGCTCGGGCTCCGCCGCCGCCCCGGCCCCCGCTCCCGGCCCCGGCCCGGCCGCCGCGTCCCCCCGCAGGCGCCCGTAGAAGGCGGCCAGGCTGGCGCTGAGCTGCGCGCAGGGGGCGCTGAGGCTGCAGCCGAAGTAGAGACCCAGCAGCGAGATGCCGCGGGCGCCCAGCGAGTGCACGTCCACCTCCTCGCCGCCGCCCGTCACCAGCTTCTCGCCGAGCAGCTCCTCCAGGAAGCCCGACATCCTGGCCCACCGCAGGGCGGGCAGGCGGCTGCGACCCCGCTCCACGGTCCGCGCGGCGGGAGGAGGCGGCGGCGTCGGCGGCAGGCGCTGGGGAGAGCAGAGCCCGGCCCAGTAGGGCCGCCCACGCCACGCCCCCTCCGCCTGCCCGCGCCACGCCCCTTCCCCCGCCCTGCCACGCCCCCTCCGCGGCCCGCGCCACGCCCCTTCGGCTGCCCTCGCCACGCCCCTCCGCCCGCCCTCGCCACGCCCCCTCCGCCCTCGCCACGCCCCGTTTGCGGCCGGCGGTGGCCAGAGCTCTCCGCCCAGGCGGGGTCCGCAGCTGCCGGCCGCGGTGCGCGGGGTGACTGCTTGGGCGAGAAGCCGGACCCGAAACGCCGCACTCTCCCTGGAAAGCCCACGGCCGAAGTGAAGAAAGGAGAAGGGCCCGCTGAGCCGGCGCTTTCCCGGGCTGCAGCCCGGCCCGCATTTTCTCTCCTCCCCAGTTCTAAATTCCCTCCAGACCTCCAGGGATCCCGCCCCCTCCCCGCGGAGCTCTTCACCCTCTTCCTGTTCCTCCCCGGCCTTTCCCTCCTCCTCTCCCTGCACGAAGCCTGACCCTTAGGCCGCTCCGGGCCCCACTGACCCTGAGATGCTTATAGGACCCGCCGTCCTCACTGCATCAGGCCGGGCCTGGCTGGACACTGACTCCTCTGTGTGTTCCAAGCTGTTCTAAGGGGGCCGAGGACGCCCTCGCAGCTTCTGGTGGGGTCTGGTTAGGGTGCCAGGTCTCAGTGTGGGATTTCCGTCCAGGGGTCGCCGGGGCCTCTCCCCCCAGCGAATCTGTCTTCCAGCCCCACAAATGGATGCAAAGGACGCCGCGGGGCCTCCAGACCAATGCTGGCCGCGCTCCTGAATCCGCTCCATCCTCATGTCAAGTCTATGGATAGTTGAGAACATTTCTAGAGATTTTTTTTTTCCTACCAGCTGGCAGGATGCTCCCCAATGCTTAGGGAGAAGCTGGATTAAACAGGTGGTCTGGGCCGGGCGCGGTGGCTCACGCCTGAATTCCCAGCACTTTGGGAGGCCGAGGTGGGTGGATCACAAGGTCAGGAGTTCGAGACCAGCCTGGCCAATATGGTGACACCCCCCCCCCGCCTCTACTAAAAATACAAAAATTAGCGGGGTGTAGTGGCAGGCACCTGTAATCCGAGCAACTCAGGAGGCTGAGGTAGGAGAATGGCGTGAAGCCGGGAGACGGAGGCTGCAGTGAGCCGAGATCGCTCCATTGCACTCCAGCCTGGGCAACAGAGCAAGACTCCGTCTCAAAAAAAACAAAAAAACAGGTGGTCCGTGGCGAGTACTCTGGCCACGCAGCGCCTCCCCCCAACCCAACCCACTGGTGCACGAAGCAGGTGCAGATCCGGGCCCAGCCACAGTAACAGGCCGCCGGTGTGGATCAGCTACTGACGACTCAGCGAAAGCAAAAAAATAAAAGCTGAAAACCCGCCCCTCTCAGAGCTTCCACCGCCGCTTCGGAGGATATTTCCTGTGCATCCATCGCCACCTAATGGAAAGAGTGAAAAATGAGGCCGACCAAACTCCATTTGTGAAAAGACACTGCCGGGACACCAGGCACAATGCTTTTATTTTACAGCAGCTTTCCACATACACAAATGATAGGACGCTTTGCGGGAGCTAATTTAAACCTCAGAATAGAACTTCAAGCTTTTGGCACAAAACGTAAGTGTTCACATCGAAGGTTCTCCGTTTTTCTAGGGTAGAATAAGGAATGGTGCAGGGTTCCAGCTTGGTGAAATGTTACCATATAAAACAATTGGGAGAGGTGGAGATGGGAGCGGAAAGTGGACTGGCGTCTCTACAAGTTATATCCACTTCCTTAGTCACCTGCTGGTATTGCTAATGACACAGGTAAGATCTTAGATGGAGGACCGCCTTCGAACACCCTAGAATCCTACTGCAAAGTCGAATTCCACCTTAATTCTCAGGAGACTTTCATGCTGAAAGTCTGTGCCACTGTAGGGACAATATTATAAAACACACACAGAAAGCATCACTTTTTAGTGAAAACTTTATTTATTTATTTATTTATTTATTTATTTATTTTGAGACAGTGTGGGCGGCAGGCCACCCAGGCGCTGAGGCAAGAGACCGAGGACACAAGCCGTTCCAGTGTAATAAAATATAAAATAAGAATAGTTATACCAGATATAGATCTTAGATAGGCTTATATATGAATATCATTAATCATTAGTTTGTAGCAATTACTCTTTATTCCCATATTATAATGATCCTCGCTCTATAATCATAATCTAGGGAAAACCAGGCCATACAGAGATAGGAGCTGAGGGGACATAGTGAGGAGTGACCAGAAGACAAGAGTGCGAGCCTTCTGTTATGCCCAGACAGGGCTACCAGAGGGCTCCTTGGTCTAGCGGTAACACCAGCGTCTGGGAAGACACCCGTGGCCAGGCGGACTGTGGTGTAGCGGTAGCGTAAGTGTCAAGGAAAAACACCCGCTACTTAGCAGACCGGGAAAGGGAGTCTCCCTTTCCCCGGGGGGAGTTTAGAGAAGACTCTACTCCTCCACCTCTTGTGGAGGGCCTGACTGCAGGTTCGCCCACAATTATCCGGAGGCCTAACTGTCTCCCTGTGATGCTGTGCTTCAGTGGTCACGCTCCTAGTCCGCCTTCATGTTCCATTCTGTACACCTGGCTCTGCCTTCTAGATAGCAGTAGCAAATTAGTGAAAGTACTAAAAGTCTCTAATAATGGTGGAAGCTGTTTCTCTCTTTGTCTCCTCTCTCTCTCTGCCTCGGCTGCCAGGCAGGGAAGGGCCCCCTGTCCAGTGGACACGTGACCCACATGACCTTACCTATCATTGGAGATGGCTCACTCTCCTTATCCTGCCCCTTTGTCTTGTATCCAATAAATATCAGTGCAGCCTGGCATTTGGGACCACTACCGGTCTCCGCGACTTGGTGGTAGTGGTTCCCCAGGCCCAGCTGCCTTTTATCTCTTTGTCTTGTGTCTTTATTTCTACACTCTCTCGTCTCCGCACACGGGGAGAGACCCACTGACCCTGTGGGGCTGGTCCCTACAGACAGAGTCTCACTCTGTTGCCCAGGCTGGAGTGCAGTGGTGCGATCTCAGCTCCTGCAACCTCTGCCTACCAGATTCAAGTGATTCTCCTGCCTCAGCCTCTCGAGTAGCTGGGATTACAGGCATGCACCACCTCCCAAATAGCTGGGATTACTGGCATGCACTAATTTTTTTGTTTTGTTTTGTTTGTTTGTTTTTTGCAACAGAGTCTTGCTCTGTTGCCCAAGCTGGAGTGCAGTGGCGCGATCTCGGCTCACTGCAAGCTCCGCCCCTCCAGGTTTAAGCAATTCTCTGCCTCAGCCTCTGGAGTAGCTGGGATTACAGGCGTCCGCCACCAAGCCTGGCCAATTTTTTGTATCTTTAATAGAGACGGGGTTTTCACCATACTGGCCAGGCTGGTCTCAAACTCCTGGCCTCAAGTGATCCACCCGCCTCAGCCTCCCAAAGTTCTGGGATTACAGGCATGAGCCACCACCCGGCCTTGGTGAAAACATTTAAAGCTACTCATATCATATATATTAAGTTACTAGGCCAGGTGAGGTGGCTCACACCTGTAATCCCAATACTTTGGGAGGCCGAGGCGGGCAGATCATGAGATCAGGAGATTGAGACCATCCTGGCTAACACAGTGAAACCCCGTCTCTACTAAAAATACAAAAAATTAGCCGGGCGAGGTGGCGGGCACCTGTAGTCCCAGCTACTCGGGAGGCTGAGGCAGGAGAATGGCATGAACCCGGGAGGCGGAGTTTGCAGTGAGCCGAGATCGCACCACTGCACTCCAGCCTGGGCGACAGGGAGAGACTCCATCTCAAAAAAAAAAAAAAAGTATATATATACACACACACACACACACACACACACACACACATAGTTACTAGACATCTTTTGAAATCCTGTAAATGGGTTACAATGTTTTATCATCTCATCCAAATCTTATCTGAAAGGCCCATGCACTGGGTACGTGGGTTAGGCACTACTGAAAGAGTGTTAGAGTCCTACACTCTGACACTTTCAAAATTATGAAAACTACAGAAATGTAAAAGGGCTATCAGCATTTACCTGCTACGGCAGCCAAAGGGCAAGAGGCATTTGGTGTGGAGGCCGGTGAAGAGGGAATTTGGGGGGCTGCAAATATTGCAAATATTCGAGTATTAACTTTGGTATACTTGGTGCAAGTCTGATATAAAGAGGAGGTTTCTTCCATGTGTGACTTGTCTTATTTAACAGGAAAGCACTTTCCACTGGAGTGTGTCCAAACCAGCATCTGGCACCTGGGGAAGGGAGAGTTCGAACACACTGCACATGAAATATAAATAAAATTTAGAGAATTGTGGATGCGGCAGGCCTTGGTTAGAGGCCAAATATCACAGCTGCCTTTTAAAGGGGTGTGGAAAGAGGGGATTTGCAATGGAAATGATCCCAGAATCATAATTGTAGTGGGTGTTATAAGAAGCCCAAGGAGTCATTTGGCATCCTGTGAAGAATTAGCCAGTGTGCTCTGGGCTACAGAAATCTTGCTCTCTGTGTATGTGGTTCTCTAAAGGAGAATGTCCCCACTGGTGTTCAGCTAGCGATGTTACATGAATCGACTTGGCTATTCTGAAAATTATTATTGTTTTAAAATATGTAGGAATGAGCCTCAACATGTATCGCATTCTGTAGAACATATTAGAATTTTCTCTTCAGAAATTGCTTTTGAAGGCACATGAAGTCATACGAAATACACACAGCACAAATATATATTTGTCACTTTTAAGATTCATAAATCACAGTCCTTGGACTTTAGAAAGAGTAGCACACATGATGTGGGCCGGGCGCGGTGGTTCATGCCTGGAATCCCAGCACTGTGGGAGGCCAAGGTGGGCGGATCACCTGAGGTCACGAGTTCAAGACTAGCCTGAGCAACATGGCAAAATCCCATCTCTACTAAAAATTAAAAAATTAGCTGGGTGTGGTGGCGCACACCCATGGTCCCAGCTACTCAGGAGGCTGAGGTGGGAGGATCGATTGAGCCCAGGAGGTCGAGGCTGCAGTAAGCCATGACTGTGCCACTGCACTCCAGCCTGGGTGACAGAGCAAGACTTTTTCTTAAAAAAAAAAAAAAAAAGCATTCGTGACTCATGGGAGAAGATCAAAATATCAACGTTAACAGGAGTTTGGAAGAAGTTGATTCCAACCATCACACGTGTCTTCCGTGAAGGAAGAAAGTGCGGATGCGGTAGAAACAATGAGAACTAGAATGAGAGGTGAAGCCTGAAGATGGGGCTGAGATGGCTGCAGTCTCATGACCAAACTGTAGCAGGTGAGGAGTTGCTTCTTGTAGATGAGCAAAGACAGTTAGAACGTCAACTTAATAAGGCAGCGGTAAGGTTTGAGAGGACTGACTCCAATTTTGAAAGAAGTTCTACTGTGGGTAAAATGCTATCAAACAGCATCGCACGCTACAGAGAAATCTTTCTTGAGAGGGAGAGATGATGGATACGGCAAGCTTCGCTGCAGTCTGATTTTAAGCGCTTTTACCACAGCCACCCAACCTTCAGCAACCACCATCCTGATCAGTCACCAGCAGCCATCAATATTGAGGCAAGACCCTCCACCAGCAAAATGATTTCAACTTGCTAAAGGCTCAAATGATCATTAGCATCTTTTTTTTTTTTTTTTTTTTTGAGGCGCAGTCTCGCTCTGTCACCCAGGCTGGAGTGTGGTGGTGCCATCTCCACTCACTGCAAGCTCCGCCTCCCTGGTGCATGCCATTCTCTTGCCTCGGCCTCCCAAGTAGCTGGGATTACAGGCACCTGACAGGACGACCGGCTAATTTTTGTATTTTTAGTATAGACAGGGTTTCACCATATTAGCCAGGATGGTCTCGATCTCCTGACCTCGTGATCCACCCGCCCCGGCCTCCCACAGTGCTGGGATTACAGGTGTGAGCCACCACGCCCAGCTGTTTTGTTTTTGTTTTTGTTTTTTGAGATGAAGCTTCATTCGTTGTCCAGGCTGGAGTGCAATAGCGTGATTTTGGCTCACTGCAACCTCTGCCTTCCTGGTTCAAGCCATTCTCCTGCCTCAGCCTCATGAGTAGCTGGGATTATAGGTGCGTATCACCACGCCCAGCTATTTTGTTTGTATTTTTAGTAGAGACAGTGTTTCACCATGTTGGCCAGGCTGGTCTCAAACTCCTGACCTCAGGTGATCCATTCACCTCAGCCTCCCAAAGTGCTGGGATTACAGGTGTGAGCCACTGCGCCTGGCCTGTGATATTAGTTTTATTGTTGTAATCTGGAACCAGAGCTGCAATATCTTGAGGTTTGCCAGTATATAAACACAGAGAAACGTATTCCTAACAAAACAAGTAGGAAATATCCATGATCATTCCAGCCCGTGTTTCTGTAACTGGCCATGGGTTGTGGCTGGTATTTATAATGACCTTTCACTATCCATTATGTATTCCCTTTGCTTTCAGTAAGCACCTCAGCTGGTTGTGGGTCTTTTCCTGGTGGGTGACCCAAACTTTCATTCCTGAAAGGTCTGGGCCCTTGGTAGTCCTGCCTGGATTGAATTCTTGTGGTTTTTCCATTGCCCTAAATCATAGGCCATGGTCTACTAGGACACCCTGAGGGGCCTCTATTCCAGACATACTCTTGCTCACCTCAATTGTGGACTTGTGGTCCAATCTAGGATCAATCACCCCAGCCAGCACAGTAACTCTCTTATCTGCCTGTTGATTCAGAGGCAGTGGGAGGCCAAACAGGCCCAGCAGAAGTCCTCACTTGGAGTTCAATGGCACCACTGTTGGGTCTTCTGGGGGAAACATTCCTCCATTTGGAAATACGACCCCTAGGCCAGCAGAGCATAAGGTCACGTGAACAGGAAACAAACATCTTGCTGCTGGGTCACTAGGAGTGCTAGGGACTGGTGCCCCTCTCATTGCCACCCCTTGATTCCCGGACCCATGAATCCTGGCTGTGGGAGAAACAGCACCCTACACTCAGTTCTGATTCAGAGCATATACTGCCTCCTGCAGAACTCTGGCCCAGCCCTGCAAGGCATCGCCACCCAGCTGGTGCTGTAGTGGAGTCTTCAAAAGGCCATTCCACCATCTTATCAAACCAGCTGCTTCAAGATGGTGGGCAACATGGTCGTACCGGGGAATTCCATGAGCATGGGCTCGTTACCATACTTTCTTTGCTGTGAAGGGAGTTCCTCAGACAGAAGCAGTGCGGTGTGGCATACCGTGACAGTAGGTACGGCATTCTGTGAGTCCACGGATGCTAGTTTTGGCAGGAGCGTGACGTACAGGGAAGGCAAATCCCGATCTAGAGTAAGTGTCTATTCCAGTGAGGACAAAATGCTGCCCCTTCCGTGATGGAAGTGATCCAGTGTCACCAACCTGTCACCGGGTCACTGGCTGATCACCCCAGGGAATGGGGTCACCAACTGATCACCCCAGGGAATGGGATCACCGGGTCGCTGGCTGATCACCCCAGAGAATGGGGTCACTGGCTGATCACCCCAGGGATTGGGGTCACCGGCTGATCACCCCAGGGAATGGGGTCACCGGGTCGCTGGCTGATCACCCCAGGGAATGGGGTCACCAACTGATCACCCCAGGGAATGGGGTCACCAGGTCGCTGGCTGATCACCCCAGAGAATGGGGTCACTGGCTGATCACCCCAGGGATTGGGGTCACCGGCTGATCACCCCGGGGAATGGGGTCACTGGGTCGCTGGCTGATCACCCCAGGGAATGGGGTCACCGACTGATCACCCCAGGGAATGGGGTCACCGGGTTGCTGGCTGATCACCGCAGGGAATGGGGTCACTGGGTCGCTGGCTGATCACCCCAGGGAATGGCATCATTTCAGGGGCTCAGGGTTGGTCTCTGTTGCTGGCAGATGGGGCTTTCAGCCATGGCTGCAGCCAGGATGGCCATAGTGAGTAACAGTCTGTGCTGTGAGCCCATGAATAACCTTTATCCCTGCCCCCCATGGCCACTTTGTTCATGAGCCCACTGGGCACTAACTGTGGTGTCGGGGGAGAGAGGCTGAGCAGCACCCAGAGAACGGGCCATCCTATCGCTTGAAGATTCGAACTCTTCCCTGGTGAGGCCACCCTTTGGCGAGCATTTACATGGGACACACGTATCGTCCGGTTTTTGCCCACATACCTCTTCTCTCAGTTCCCTCGGTTTCCTTGTCACTAATTTTCCAATCATGTTCCTTCCAAGTCCCTGACTCTCCAGGCAAATCATTGGCTACGGTCGGTGAATCGGTGTGTGCTCTCACGTCCAGCCATTTCTCCTTCCAAGCACAACCAACAACCAGGTGCACTGCGCCAACGTCTGCCCACCGGGAGGATCTGCCCCCACCGCTGTCCTTCGGGAATGTCCAAGGAAGAGGCTGGAGGGCAACAGCTGCTCAGTTTCGGGCGGAGACTGCACGTCGTACAGAACCATCTGCAAACTGGGATGTGAGTCTTCGCTTTCTCTGTCAGCTGATCATGGAGGACTCCCCATGATGCTAGAGGTGCAGGCTGGGAAAGGGAAGGCAGGGTGGAGTCGTGGCAGTGGGAACCAAGGGCCTTTGAAGCTGCTTCTCCATCTAACTTCCTGGTGCCTTCAGGGCCTGCTTGGGCCCAGTCACGTGTATACTATTTCCATTAGATGGTGAAGCACGGTGCTGCTGTGCACACCCAACTGTATGGCTTGATGGGTCAGAGAACCTCCAGTTCACGACGGGCAGCTCAGGCCACATGGTAACTCCGTGGCCCATGGCTAAGCATCAGTCTCCAAGAAGGCCCAGTAGCAGTCCAAAAGCTGTGTCTCAAAAGGAGAGTACTGTCCACAGGATGGCAGAGCTTTGCTCCAAAATCCTACAGGCTTGCTCTGCGATTCACCTACGGGGCCTGCCAAAGGCTGCAAACAGCATCCTTGTCTGCCACGGTCTCTTCAAGCATCACTGGATCAGCTGGATCACGTGGCCCACGTGGAGAGCAGCTTGCATCACAGTCGGAACCTGCTACAGTGCGTTCTCTCGCTCTGGTCCCTCTCAAAGCTAGCAGATTTTCAGGTTGCTCTATAACTAGGTCAGGCTAACACGCCCAAATGAGGATTGAGTTGCCGTTAAATATCTGGACACTAAACGGCCCAGTCAAGTTGGCACACACAATTGCCCATCACACACTCTGACATGGGGTATCTTTAAGACGTAGCACAAGAGAAAGGAGGGTGCAGAAGAGGTAGGAAATACTAACCTACAACTTGTCTTTTTTTTTTTTTTTAAAGAAACAGGGTCTTGGCCAGGTGCAGTGGCTCACGCCTATAATCCCAGCACTTTGGGAGGCCGAGGTGGGTGGATCACGAGGTCAAGAGATTGAGACCATCCTGGCCAACATGGTGAAACCCCGTCTCTACTGAAAATACAAAAACTAGCTGGGTGTGGTGGTGGATGCCTGTAATCCCAGCTACTCAGGAGGCTGAGGCAGGAGAATCGCTTGAACCCGGGAGGCGGATGTTGCAGTGAGCCGAGATCACACCACTGCACTCCAGCCTGGTGACACAGTGAGACTCCATCTCAAAAAAAAAAAAAAAAGGAAAAAAAAAAGAAATGGGGTCTTGCTCTGTCACCCAGGCTGGGTATAGTGCTGTGATCATGGCTCACTGCAGCCTCCAACTCCTGGGCTCAAGTGATCCTCCCACCTCAGCCTCCCGCATAGCTGGAATTACAGGTGCACTCCACCATGCCCGGCTAATTTATTTTCTTTCTTTCTTTCTTTTTTTTTTTTTAGAGATAGAGGTCTCACTATGCTGCCCAGGCTGGTCTTGAACTCTTGACTTCAAGGGATCCTCCGGCTTGGCCTTCTGAACTGCAGGGATTATAGGCATGAGCCACTGCACCCGGCCCCATTTGTAATTCTTTTTTTTTTTTTTTTTTTTTTGAGACAGAGTCTCGCTCTGTCGCCCAGGCTGGAGTGCAATGGCACAATCTCGGCTCACTGCAAGCTCCGCCTCCCGGTTTCACGCCATTCTCCTGCCTCAGCCTCCAGAGTAGCTGGGACTACAGACGCCCGCCACCACCAGCTAATTTTTGCATTTTTGGTAAAGACAGGGTTTCACTATGTTGGTCAGGCTGGTCTTGAACTCCTGACCTCAGGTGATCCGCCCGCCTCAGCCTCCCAAAGTGCTGGGATTACAGGTGTGAGCCACCGCACCCGGCCTGTATTATAAGCTTTAATGTCTGTTTTATATTTTCCTTTTTAAAAAGTCGGTATTTTGTGGCAGATCCACTAATAAATGAAATTACCTGATAGAGAAGTGCATACAGCAGAATATGGAGGCGAGATCTGACAAGGATCAAGACGAAGAAAGGGGGAGAAGATCGTTGTTCTCACTGGCTATGGCAGAAGTGTGGTGCAGATCTTTCTGGCACCAACTTGATATATAACTTTGGGGAGCCACCGTGATTTATTATTCTTTCTATTATTCCTTTTATCCCTTAGCAAAGCAGGACAAGTCTGGTCTCTGGGTTGCTTTTTTGTTTTTCTTTTTTGAGATGGTTCTCACTCTGTCGCCCAGGCTGGAGTGCAGTGGTACGATGATGGCTCACTGAAGCCTTGACCTCCTGGGCTCAAGCAATCCTCCCACCTCAGCCTCCCAAGTAGCTGGGACTACAGGCACATGTCACCATGCCGAGCTAATTTTTGTATTTTTTGTTTTTTTAGAGACGGAGTCTTGCTCTGTTGCCCTGGCTGGAGTGCAATGGCGTGATCTGCAAGCTCCTGCAAGCTCCACCTCCTGGGTTCACGCCATTCTCTTGCCTCAGCCTCCTGAGTAGCTGGGACCACAGGCACCCGCCACCATGCCTGGATAATTTTTTGTATTTTTAATAGAGACAGGGTTTCACCATGTTAGCCAGGATGGTCTCGATCTCCTGAACTCGTGATCTGCCTGCCTCGGCCTCCCAAAGTGCTGGGATTACAGGTGTTAGCCACCAAACCCAGCCTAATTTTTGTATTTTTTTGTAGAGACACAGTCTCACTATGTGGCCGAGGCTGGTCTTGAACTCCTGGGCTCAAGTGATCCTCCTGCCTTGACCTCCCAAAGTGCTGGGATTACAGGCATGAGCCACCATGCCCGGCCATTAGTCTCTAGTTCCTAAACAACTTTCCTAACTCTTTTCTGACTTTCTTGTAGAAGTGTAAAGTGCTGGAGAAAACACTGTGCATTTTTCTATCTGCTTCCAATACTTTTCAGATCAGATCTGAGGATTATAATTCATACCCCTAGGCTGGGCACGGTGGCTCATGCCTGTAATCCCAATACTTTTCAGATCAAATCTGAGGATTATAACTTGTACCCCTAGGCCAGGCACAGTGGCTCACACCTGTAATCCCAGCATTTTGGGAGGCCAAGGCGGGCAGATCACTTGAGGTCAGGAGTTCAAAACCATTCTTGTCAGCCTGGTGAAACCCCATCTCTACTAAAAATACAAAAAATTAGCCGGGCGTGCTGGCACATGACTGTAATCCCAGCTACTTGGGAGGCTGAGGCAGGAGAACTGCTGAACCCGGGAGGCAGAGGTTGCAGTGAGCCGAGATCTCACCATTGCACTCCAGCCTGGGTGAAGAAGCAAGACTCTGTCTCAAAAAAAAAGAACTAAACCTGGACGGAAGCACCTGTGTCTTCCTGGGCACTAGTTGTAAAAGCAACACGTTGAGTTCAGATTTTATCCTGGCATGAAGTAGAATCCAGAGCAGGGAGCACGTTCACAGTCCTGTGTGGGAAGATCATTCTGTGAATAGTTTGGAGAAGAGCAAGGTAGGAGGCTCCAAAACCAGTTAAGAGCCTATTAATTAAGAGGCCGGTGCGGTGGCTCACACCTGTAACCCCAGCACTCTGGGAGGCTGAGGTGGGAGGATTGCTTGAGCCCAGGAGTTTGAGACCAGTCTGGGCAACAGAGTAAGAACCAGTTTCTGTAAAAAAGGTTTTTAAAAGTTAGCCCGGGGCACGGTGGCTCACACCTGTAACCCCAGCACTTTAGGAGGCTGAGGTGGGAGGATTGCTTGAGCCCAGGAGTTTGAGACCAGTCTGGGCAACAGAGTAAGAACCAGTTTCTATAAAAAAGGTTTTTAAAAGTTAGCCCGGGGCACGGTGGCTCACACCTGTAATCCCAGCACTTTGGGAGGCTGAGGTGGGCGGATCACGAGGTCAGGAGATCGAGACCATCCTGGCTAACACGGTGAAACCCCGTCTCTACTAAAAACACAAAAAATTAGCTGGGCGTGGTGGCGGGCGCCTGTAGTCCCAGCTACTCGGGAGGCTGAGGCAGGAGAATGGCGTGAACCCAGGAGGCGGAGCTTGCACTGAGCCGAGATCACACCACTGCACTCCAGCCTGGGCAACAGAGCAAGACTCCATCTCAAAAAAAAAAAACATTAGCCCATTACCCCGGCATGGTGGTACATGCCCATGGTCCCAGCTACTTGGCAGGGTCGAGGTAGGAGGATCCCTTGAGCCCAGGAGATCGAGGCTGCAGTGAGCCATGATGGGGCCACTGCACTCCAGTTTGGGCCACAAAGAAAGACCCTGTCTCAAAAAGAAAAAAAGAGGCTCAGAGAAGACATTACTTCCAATTAGATTAATCAGAAAAGGTAAGTTTTGAAGGGCAGGAATATTTAAAGACAGAGCTGAGGGGCATGAGTGGAGTGTTGTGAGAAGAAAAAAGAATTACTAGCAAAAGTTCACAAGGGTCTGAGTGTGGCAGCTCACATCTGTAATCCCAGCACTTTGGGAGGCCAAGGCGGGCAGATCACTTGAGGTCAGGAGTTCAAGAGCAGCCTGGCCAACATGGTGAAACTCCGTCTCTACTAAAAATACAAAAAAATTAGCTGGGCGTGGTGGCTCACGCCTGTAGCTGGGGTCAGGAGGCTGAGGCAGGAGAATCACTTAAAGCTGGGTAATGGAGGTTGCAGTGAGCTGAGATCGCACCATTGCACACCAGCCTGGGCGACAGAGCGAGACTCCATCTCAGAAAAAAGAAAAAAAAAATGTGGTCCCCAACCAGCAGTAGCATCACCTGGGAAATCCAAAATTTCACACCCACCTCAGACCTTTCTGAGTCAGAAACTAACTCTGCGCTCAGCAGCTTAACCACCTGGTTCTCAGTGATGGTTTAGGACAGCCTCACGGACCTCCAGTAAGCCCAGCCCCTCACCAGGCCAATACTCTATGAAGATGAACAGATGATGCTATTACGTGCCCTTCACTGTGGAGACAGAAGGGAGGGACCGACGGTGCTCAGGGCTGGGCCTGGAGGACCCCATCCGGAGCCTGGAGTGCTCTTTATCACCGGCTGCCCGTGGGAACCCACGACTCACGGCTGGAGGCCCCACGCCCCCTGCCTTGTTTCCATCTGCTGCAGCCAGCGACGTCAAGCCTTATTCCATCTGTCAGACCAGGCCAGACGATAAATGTCCTCTTGTGGGGAAAGTGATTCAGAGAGAAAAGCTAAGAGCCACTCCACCCTCACATAATCCACCTCACATAATCCACCCTCACATAATCCACCCTCACATAATCCACCTCACATAATCCACCTCACATAATCCACCCTCACATAATCCACCCCTCACATAATCCACCTCACATAATCCACCCACACTCACATAATCCACCTCACATAATCCACCCTCACATAATCCACCCTCACATAATCCACCTCACATAATCCACCCTCACATAATCCACCCTCACATAATCCACCCTCACATAATCCACCTCACATAATCCACCCTCACATAATCCACCCTCACATAATCCACTCTCACATAATCCGCCTCACATAATCCACCCTCAAATAATCCACCCTCGCATAATCCACACTCACATAATCCACCTCACATAATCCACCTCGCATAATCCACCTCGCATAATCCACCCACCCTCACATAATCCACCTCGCATAATCCACCCTCACATAATCCACCCTCACATAATCCACACTCACATAATCCACCTCACATAATCCACCTCACATAATCCACCTCACATAATCCACCCTCACATAATCCACCTCACATAATCCACCCTCACATAATCCACCTCACATAATCCACCCCTCACATAATCCACCTCACATAATCCACCTCACATAATCCACCCCTCACATAACCCACCCTCACATAATCCACCTCACATAATCCGCCCTCACATAATCCACCCTCACATAATCCACCCTCACGTAATCCACCTCACATAATCCACCTCGCATAATCCACCCACCCTCACATAATCCACACTCACATAATCCACCTCACATAATCCACCTCACATAATCCACCCTCACATAATCCACCTCACATAATCCACCCTCACATAATCCACCTCACATAATCCACCCTCACATAATTCACCCTCACATAATCCACCTCACATAATCCACCCTCACATAATCCACCCTCACATAATCCACCCTCACATAATCCACCCTCACATAATCCACCCACATTCACATAATCCACCTCACATAATCCACCTCACATAATCCACCCTCACATAATCCACCCCTCACATAATCCACCCTCACATAATCCACCTCACATAATCCACCCTCACATAAGACTGTGCAGCTGTCTGGTCTCCATTTCTGCCGGGTGGGGTATTCCATCCTCATCTCGGGCAACATGTCCCAAAAGTATGGTTTCCAGTATGGCTCCTTAGGTCCCACCCATTTCTTCTCTGGGACCCCAAAGACCCAACCCCCACCTTTTTTTTCTTTTTTTTGACACGGAGTCTCCGTCTGTCTCCAGGCCGGAGTACAGTGGCACCATCTCGGCTCACTGCAAGCTCCGCCTCGTGGGTTCAAGCGATTCTGCTGCCTCAGCCTCCTGAGTAGCTGGGACTACAGGGGTGCAGCCACTATGCCTAGCTAATTTTTGTATTTTTAGCAGAGACAGGGTTTCATCATGTTGGCCAGGATGGTCTCGATCTCTTGACCTTGCTTCAGCCTCCCAAAGTGCTGAGATTACAGGTGTGAGCCACCGCGCCCAGCCAAGACCCTTAAAAGAAGGACACTTCACTTCCTCTTACAACTCAGACATACCTGTGAGGCTCCTGGGCTATGGAACACCCCAGCCCTTTCGCAGCCCTTGATGGAAATTGTTTTTCAGCCCTCTGAATAAAATGACCACTGTTTACTTAATCTTTTTTTTTTCTTTTTTTTGAGACAGGGTCTCGTTCCCTCGTCCATGCTGGAGTGCAGTGGCACGATCATGACTCACTGCAGTCTCAACTTCCCAGACTCAAGCAATTTTCCTGCCTCAGCCTCCCAAAGTGCTGGGATTACAGGTGTGAGCCACCATGCCCAGCAGAGGAATCTTTTCCGATCAACATCTTCTGAGAGTCCCTGGCCCAAGTAGGCAGATGCTTGCTACGGCACTGCCTTCAGGCCATTAGCAAAAAGTGTGCTTAAATGCCCAGAGGTGTTCCCAGGCCACGTTTTGTTCATACGAGGAGTACAAAATGATGCCAAAGTGTTAGCATTCTTGGGACTGAAAACCTCTCTCCAACATCCCCTAGGATTTTCCTGGATATGACCAGAAATCCATTCCCAATTTCTCTGCCTCCAGGCCCCAATTCTGGTTTCCTCAAAGAGGAGGAAGTGTTCTTGGTTCCCAAAATATGCTTGCAGTGCAGTGGTATAATGGTAAATGTTTAACAACAATAACAAAAAGGCCCTAACTGGCCGGGCGCAGTGACTCACGCCTGGAATCCAAGCACTTTGGGAGGCCGAGGTGGGTGGGTCACCTGAGGTCAGGAGTTTGAGACCAGCCTGGCCAACATGGTGAAACCTTGTCTCTACTAAAAATACAAAAATTAGCCGGGCATGGTGGCATGTGCCTGTAATCCCAGCTAGTCGGGAGGCTGAGGCAGGAGAATCGCTCAAACCCGGGAGGTGCAGGTTGCAGTGAGCGGAGATTGCACCACTGCACTCCAACCTGGGTGACAGAGCAAGACTCTGTCTCAAAAGAGTAATTTTAAAAAGTAAGGCAACAAATTATCAGGAGTTTTTGAGCTGGTTGTTAAGCACAGTTATTATTAAAAATTACATTCTATACATTTATAATAAATTACACTAAAAATAGGTAATATGTGCTCAAAACTCATCCCCTCCTAAAAATTTTACTACACTGTACTCCTATCTATGCTGTTGAGGTTATTTCCATAGATTGTATCTGTGTGATAGAAACACCATGTAACCACATGCTGCTGTACGTCTTCCCAATTCTGACTGATGACCTCGCTTGGTAGTTTGAAATCAGCCATGATGGGGATATTAACACCACACAAGTCAGCAAATGCTGTCAGTTAGGATTTTTTTTTTTTTTTTTTTTTTTTTGAGACGGAGTCTTGCTCTTGTCGCCCAGGCTGGAGTGCGATGGTGCGATCTTGGCTCACTGCAACCTCCACCTCCCGGGTTTAAGAGATTCTCCTGTCTCAGCCTCCCGAGTAACTGAGATTACAGGCGCCTGCCGCCACCTGGCTAATTTTTATATTTTTAGTAGAGACGGGGTTTCCTGCTTCAGCCTCCTAAGTAGCTGAGAATACAGGCGTGCACCACCATGCCCAGCTAATTTTTTTATTTTTTATTTTTTTAATTTTTAGTAGAGATGGGGTTTCACCATGTTTGTCAGACTGGTCTCGAACTCCTGACCTCGTGATCCACCGGCCTCGGCCTCCCACAGTGCTGGATGACAGGCGTGAGCCCCCGCGCCCGGTCCGTGCATTTACAGCACAAGTTCACGCTTATCTACAAAGCATCCACCTCTCACCGCACCTTCCGGGACCACGGGATTTAACGCCTCACCGCCCGATGACAGCACGAGGTGGAAAGGGCAGCGACAATGCTCGCGCGTCCCCTCCCGGCGATCCGGAGCACGGCAGCCCCGGAGCGCGCGGCCACTCCTCGCTCCCCTCAGGAGCTCGTAAGAGCCCCGCGCGGGGCCGAGGCGCGAGAGCACGCGCAACGCTTCCTGGGAAATGTAGTTGGGTGTCGGATTAGAACTACAAATCCCGGTACTCACCGCGCTGCAGCCCCGACCGTGAGGGCGCTTTCTGGTGAATCTGAATCTCGTTTGTCTGTGACATGGGGAAAGCTGTCCAAGCCCAATTCCATTTTCACAAGAGGCTTTCTTTTTGGAAACATGATAGCGGTCTCGCTGGTGTGCGCACCAGGAGCGTTGCGGCCGCGGCTTCCTCCTGCGGCGAATCTGCCGTTGCATCACAGTGGCTAGTCTCAGGGCCCGCAACGTGACGCTTGTCGAATCTGCTGCGGGGAGAAGGACGCGAGGGTTGCTTGGGCAGCGACTGTCATGGCGGCGGCCGCCCCCAATGCCGGAGGCTCGGCCCCTGAGACAGCGGGTTCCGCCGAAGCTCCGCTGCAGTACAGCCTGCTCCTGCAGTACCTGGTGGGTGACAAGCGTCAGCCCCGGCTCCTGGAGCCTGGGAGCCTGGGCGGGATCCCAAGTCCAGCCAAGAGTGAGGAGCAGAAGATGATCGAGAAGGCGATGGAAAGCTGCGCTTTCAAGGCTGCGCTGGCCTGCGTGGGAGGTGAGGCCGGGCGATGGGACCCTTGGGAGGCTGAGGGCCTGGACGGCAGTGGGGATCTCTGCCGAGAAGACCACGCGCCTGGGAGGCGAGGGACTGCGGGCCTTGACCTTGACCACACCCTCGCCTCGTTCGTGAATCGGGCGTCACCTCTCCTGCCCCCTCAGGCCGGCTTTCCTGATGAAAATTGGGTTAGAGAATCGGTGCTGTGGTTGGGGCCTGAAAGTTATTACATGACATCCTGGCTAACACGGTGAAACCCCGTCTCTACTAAAAATACAAAAAATTAGCTGGACGTGGTGGTGGGCGCCTGTAGTCCCAGCTATTCGGGAGGTTGAGGCAGGAGAATCGCTTGAACCCAGGAGGCGGAGCTTGCAGTGAGCCGAGATGTGCCACTGCTCTCCAGCCTGGGCGACAGAGCGAGACTCCGTCTCAAAAACAACAACAAAAAGTTATTACGTGGGTGACTTCATTCATCCGTTCATTCCCTTAAATTCATTCTCTTAAATAATTCTTTCAACAAATTGTTCCTAAGCAATATCACGTGCCAGGTGAAAGAGACAAGAGCCTGGTCTTCATGGGGCCTGTATTATACTATGTGGAGAAGAATGTTGAGCAGGAACACTGCAGAGGAAGGATGCAGACATATGGAAATGCACATGCAGACGACTCTAGGGCAGCAGTTGTTTGAGGTTTGAAAAACTGAAAGACCATTGTGACTAGACAGCCCCGAGCAAGGAGAGACGAAGTCTGCACTTGTCCTTCTGTTTTTCCCTTAAGTTGAAGGGGAGGTGCCCATGATTTTATTAAACTCATATTGACCATGAGGTCATGAGAGGGCATCCATCTGGACATGTCCAGCCGGCTCAGGAAGGACAGATGTGGCAGCAGTGTGGGATTTGCCATTAGGTAGCTGTGTGGCCTTGGGAGAAGTTGCTTAACCTCTCTGAGCCTCAGTTTATAGAAAGGAGAGGCTAATAGCATCTGTCTCACTGGATTATTGTGAAGAATGAATGAGGCTGTGGCATACTGGCATGTGCTCAGTAAAGCATTACTGTGAATGTCACAGTGGCCAAGAGAGTGATTTGCAAAGTTGATAGCTGAAGTTGAGGGTGGCTGGTTTACATATGAGAGAATGTAGAGAGAATAGAGGGTTAAAGATGGAATCTTGAGAAATGTTAGGGAATGACAGGAGGAAGAAATCTTAGAGACGGAGAAGATGATGTCAGTAACATAGACCCTGGATTGCAAGTCTCCAGGCAAGTGGAGAGTTTGAGTGGCAAGAGGGGGGTGTCCTCTGCACCGGTGGTCATCCAAAAGCATGGTCCCTTCCAGGATGATCCCAATAGAGTAATGCAGAAAACATGCCAAAGACACCTTCATCTCTGTGTTTGCTTCTAGGATTTGTCTTAGGAGGTGCATTTGGGGTGTTTACCGCTGGCATCGATACCAACGTGGGCTTTGACCCTAAGGATCCTTACCGTACACCGACTGCAAAAGAAGTGCTGAAAGACATGGGGCAGAGAGGAATGTCCTATGCCAAAAATTTCGCCATTGTGGGAGCCATGTTTTCTTGTACTGAGTGTTTGATAGAATCTGTAAGTGTCTCTGCCTTCTAAGAAATCCTTGCTGGGGCCACCATTTCATTACTTTTAAAGAGAAATTGCTCTTTAAAAGTCATTTGAAAGTTGTTACTAGAAAGCAAATCAGAAGCATCAGATACATTCTAGGTTGAACTTCCATAAAATAGTCCCTGTGGCAGACTTTGTGTGTGTTTACAGTATGGGCTTGCATTATTTTTTACTTTTTGTAGGCTAGAAGTTAGCTAATGATTTTAAACGAGACTTATTGGAGAGCCCCTTGAAGAAATTTTGATTACATTCCAAATGCTGGGCTTGGTTTCAGCACTCTGGTGCCACCTGCAGGAAGCATCTATGAACGCATACTATATATATATATATATATATATATATATATATATACACGCTGTATACTTAGGAACTATATTTTCAAGAAAGATTAGGTTTCCTTTGGGTAGGGACTGAATGAGCTAACGAGCAACCCTGTGTATTCCTCCTTAATGGTCTGCCTTGGCTTGTTTCTTTGGCTCTAACGTGTACTTCCCTGCCCACAGTACCGGGGAACATCAGACTGGAAGAACAGTGTCATCAGTGGCTGCATCACGGGAGGAGCTATTGGTTTCAGAGGTTAGTAAACGGCTCTCGAATGCTTTTTCTTTGTGGCCTTGGACAACGTGCTGAGGTTGTCATTTCCAAACACACGAGTGTTCCAGGGACACTTGATCTTCTTCCCTCTGACAAATAAATCATGTTTGTTTCTGTGGTAACTCGGTTTTGGAAACTTGTAGGATCTAGATGAGGGTTTCCCATCGTTGGCACTACTGACATTTCGACCAGACGAATCTTTGTCGGGATTGGGTCTGTTTTGTGCATTCTAAGACGTTGAGCAGTATCCCTGGCCTCTACCCACGAGATGCAAGTAGCACCCCCGTCCGTTGTAACAACTTTTTTTTTTTTAAAGAGACCGAATCTCACTCTGTCGCCCAGGCTGGAGTGCAGTGGCACGATGTCAGCTCACTGCAACCTCCACCTCCTGGGTTCAAGCGATTCCCCTGCCTCAGCTTCCCAGGTAGCTGGGATTACAGGCACCCGCCACCATGCTCAGCTAATTTTTATTTTTTTAGTAGAGATCAATTTCACCTGGTCTCGAACTCCTGACCTCGTGATCTGCCTGCCTCAGCCTCCCAAAGTGCTGGGATTACAGGCATGAGCCACCACGTGTGGCCAACATTTTTCTCAGTAATTCTAGACAATTGTCTTTTAATTTTAGATATAAATTATAATGGTAATATCTTTCTGCCCTTGGGGATTCTGATTTCTACCCATTGAATGCTAAGTACAGATATTCTAGAAATATTAGATTATCAGCTGCAAAAAAAAAAAAAAAAAGAAAACCAATTTGCTGCCTCTTCTCCCCGTTGGCATGTCCATTCAGAGCGTGGTGGAGGGCCTTGGTGACTTGACTTTCCTAGAAGCAGCAGTGTTTTATCACTGGGCCACTTTCCATCTGTCATGCCCTAACTTACCCAGAGCAAAAAGCCAGTTTTCTCATCTTCTGAGAGACAGGATGATTTGCTGTCATGAAACCTGGTTTTGCTCCTCAAGCACCATTTATGATGACGGACTGACTTCTCCGCCGGTCGTCCCATTGTTCAGCTTCACCAGGGCCTCTTTGAGAAGCTCTGCTGTCTCCAGTACTGCTTTGATCACCTTCCCAGGAATGTATTCCATAAACAAATCAGGGTCAAGGCCATATGCTTTCATTTGATTCCGAGGGCTGCTTCTCTCAACCAGTTTCCTGCCTGCGAGGGGCTATTTCCCTAAGACTAGAAATACCCTTTGAAGGAGAAAAGCTAAACAAATGTAGTTAGATAAAGCGCACTGGATTAGATCATATACACTGCTTCATTGATGTCTTCCAGAGCTATGATCGTTTGAATGACTTACAGTGCTTAAGCTCATTTCATGACACTGAGGGTGTGCCAACTTTCCGTGAGTGCCTCGTGACCCAGCAGCTGTCACCACAGGTCATGTTCTTTCTGTTTGTTTGACAGCTGGCTTAAAGGCTGGGGCCATTGGTTGTGGAGGTTTTGCTGCTTTCTCTGCTGCGATTGATTATTACCTCCGGTGAGAGTAATTGCCTGCAGGGAAGGATGATGCCAGCCCCGGATCCGGGCTGCTCTCTGGAGGACAGTTTCTGTACCACACCAGGGCCTTGCTTCAGGGCCTGAAGACATTCATTTTCCCTCATGTCGTTGGTATTCTGAGGGAGCTGCCTGGCTTCTCTGCCTCCAGCCTTTGGGGTAGCCACACTTTGCTGCTCCTGGACTCCAGCCAGCCTTCACAGAGGACGTCCCGTGCCAGATTCTCTCACAGCAGATCGGGAGACAGGATGTTGACATATAGGAATTCAGCTCCACAAAGCTTCAGGCCTGACCACAGCTGGCCCTCTAGGTTGTTTGGTGTTGTGGGCACAGAGGTGACAGTGTCTCTGCAGGCACTCAGGAAGCTGTTCTACCTTGGAACTCCATGCAACTATCCGTCTCGAATACCAGGGCAGGGCAAGGCGGACTGATGCCGTCCAACCAATTATCTCACTTGTTTTGTGTTCTGTCATCCTTGTTTTTTTTTTAAAAATACACTCCCCTCCCCCACCGCCACACACCTTACAGTTCAAAAGGTTGGTTTATTTGTATTTTATTTTCAAATTCCCTATTCCAAAAATAGTGCCGGGTGGCCCAAAGATAACATCTGAAGGGAAAGAATGAGAAAGCTCCCAGGGAAGCGGGGGATGGGGCGCTGAGGCAGGGTTGTTAGAGGACTGTGTCATCCTCACCAAGCTCATTACATCTGCCAGGGCCTGCCTCAAGAAGCCCAGCCCAGCCTTTTCCTGGGATGCAGTGAAATCCCATCCATGAACTCGATGGGCCCCTCCTGTGCCGGCCGAGAGGCACACACTGCCTTCACGACGTGACTGCTGGACCTGGCCGAGCTTGAGGCCACATGTGAAGGGTCCTGCTGTGGTCATCTTGGTGACTCGGTCACAGCAGCTACTGGCCAAGATCAGACGTCGCTGAGGGGCTGTTCACCACCATCCTCGTTCTCCAGGGTCAAGGAAGTGTTTTAACATGTCGTGTTTTCGACTTGACCTTGTGGTATTTTTCTTGGCCTAGTTGTGTGCCATGGATATTAAAAAAAAAAAAAAAAAAATCCGTCTACAGTTGGGCTTCAGCACTGGTGCTGCTTTACCCTGGTGCTCTGTGGGGGGATGACACTGCTGGAGTCAGGCCTTTGCTCTTGGGTGGGGCACAGGCAGGTCGCTTGGTGGGGGCCACACAGTGCTGGGCACCTTCAGCCAGTGGTGATGAGTCTCCTTTTTCCTATAATACGGTAATTCCTCTATCCTTTCCTTTTTTGCCTTCTTCCTCATCTGCCCTGTCTTCTGGCCCACACACTCTTAACCAGCGTTCACACTCAGTGTACATGGCCTGGAGGCCCGAGTGTTTGTACATGAGTGATGATGTCAAACCCAGCTGGTAACACCTTCCTTGGGTCATGTTTGCCATTTTCTTGGAATGAATGTGAGTTCCTGCTCAGGGCTCATGTCCTTTTACAGTGAATTCTATATAACGCCCCTCCCAGTCTCACAGCTAGGAGGCTTCATCACTGCTAGGCCAGTTGGAGCGTTCCCTAGAGCTCAGAACAAATTGTTTCCTCTGCTGTCCCTAAATATAGGACACCTACAAGCACTCTGAAGCAAGGGCAGACATTCCCACCTGGTACCTGTCAAAGTCCTAGGATGCCTGGGATCTTCCATCTTTCAGTCTAGCACGTGGGACCAAATACAAGAGATGCTGCCCTCACAACAGCCTTGGAAAAGATGAGCGCCAGGGCTGTCAGTACCCATCGGTTCAGTAAGCGAGGCATTGTCCACGCTGCCTATTCACTCGAGAGATGAATAGTTTCCTGTTTTCGATGGCTGGGGAGCCAGTATGAGCTCATAAACCAAACAGCAATTTTCAGAGACATCTGTTCCTGATCTTCAGAATAAACTCAGTGTCCAGTTGCTTCGGCTGGTGGGAGCCAATATTCACGCCACTGACTCTCTCAAAGGGAGGGTGGGCCCTCGGAGACCCAGCTTCTCTGACAAGCAGATTAGACCAAAAGGCTGCCTCAAAGATATGCCACTTTGAAGGAAAGCGTAGAGAAGCGTTTACATAAAAGAAGACGCTTCCTGTTCAGTGGACAACTTCATGCCACTTTCAAGGCACACCGATGGCCAGGTGGGACATTTGTACTGTAGCAGCACATGGCAAAGGTGAGCCAGAAGCAGCCTGGATGCTGGCTGATCCGGAGGCCTTTGTGAAGAGCAAGGAGAGGGCTCCAGCCCACCTCCCCGCAGCTCTGCCCCAGCCCCCGTGGGCCACAGGGAGGCTCAAGGGGAGTGAACTAGGTAAACAGATTCCTGGAAACTCACATCTGGATGCAGCTGGAAGAGTTAAATATTTACATTGGTGGCTTCCCTGGACCACCGCGAACACAAACATCCACACCACAGGGCTGAGTTTTGTGCAAATGATGGGGCTTTGCATTTTTTATTAACATTTTCCTCTCACGTGGTTTACATCAATTTATAATAATCTACATAAGTTGAAACAGAACATAGACAAAAAAATATATCCTTACCAACTTATTAAAGTCAGATATTCATGAAGGGTCCCATCCTACCTGTGTATCAGCAGAAACTGGCAGCCATCAGCCATTGCCCAGCAAGAACAGGCAGACCTGGCGTTTCTTAGCCTGACTCCTGCTGGGCACAGCCCACCCTGCTGGGCACAGTGACTGGAGGTTCCAGGCTGCACAGTCCCTGGCTCCTGACTCCTGCCGGGCGCAGTGACTGGAGGTTTCGGGCTGCATGGTCCCCGGCTCACAGGAGACCCTGCTGGGTGTTTCCTTGGTGCAGTTTAGTCCAGGTCTGGCACCTGACCCTCCCCACTCTGGGGGTGGGATTTATAAATATGAGCCTTTGCATTTCTCAGCCTTTGCAGCCTTCCCATAGCCTGTTCTCACGTTGCCTCAGCGAGCTTGGGGCTGTGGGGCTCCCTGAGGCTGAGACGCGAAGGTGCCCAGTCTGGGCCGTGACTCACTCTGCCCCTTCCTGTCCATCACTTTGGAAGCAAGCAGGAGCCTTCTGTGCCACACACCGACACTCGGATGCCAGGCAGGGACCTTAGGAAGGGCCAGGCACTGCATCTTTAGACTCAAGTTCACCGCCTTTCCCAGGGAGCAAGGGCTCCTTGCTAAGCTGCTCACAGGCAGCCGATGGTCAGTACTTCCTTCCTCTTGGGCATGTCTTTCCTCCGTGCACAGAGTATTTACTGTTCTGCCCAAGGCCACAGGAGTAAACAGGCTCAAAAAGGGCCTCTCACCGCGCACGCGCTGCAGCGTTAGGGCCGGCAAACCCTTCTTTAAGACTCAGCCCTGAGCACAAGCAATGGGAACTGAGCTCCCCAGCCCTGAGGGCCCGGAAACGACGCTCTGCCACACAGAAGAGCCGGGGAGCTGTAACTGGCTATAAGTCGAGCCCCTGGAGCTGCATCTGCTCTCCTAGGCTGATGGCCCGAGGCTGGCAGCCGCAGCTCGTGTGGGAAGTGTACGGTGGGAACACACCTCACTCCTTCCTAGTACCGGGCAATGCGTCTGCAAGTCGGGTCCCTGCTCCCTGGCGGGTGCCTACAGCACCAACAAGGAGGCCCCAGCAGAACCCAGCCCCTAGAGGCGGCTGTCTGATTCCCCACTCTCCCCACAACTTCTGGAGTTCCCAGTGTTTACCCAAAAGGCTGTATCCAGAAGCTGGGGCGGCACCACAATGGCTGGCCACCGTGGGCCTGTGCCTTTGCTTCCCAGGTCCTGGAGGACCGTGGCAGTGCTTGGCTGTGGAGTGTGTGTAAAATCTAAGGCAAGAGTACCACGAGGTCCTGCGGTGCCAGGGAGCTCCTGGCTGCAGCCTACCTGCCTGGACACCTGCTTCGGCCACATCAGTCACCCTCCAGGAAGCCTGGCCCCTCTTGAAAAGCCCCCACAACTTGCTCCTAAGAGCTGAGCTGCCTCCCCGCGACCCGGGACACCCAGCGTGGCATGTGCATTCCTCCCCCGTTCAGCCTGTGGTGTTTCCTCAGCAGCCTGACCGCCTCCTCCCCCATTCTCTCCTGACCCTCTGGCTATCTCGATAGCAGGTCACCTGTGAGTCTTTACACTCAAAGGAAATAGAACAGCAGGGAAGGGAACTGAAAAGCAGTAGAAGAAACAGTCAGAGATGCCTCACTGATAGACAGGAGGCCGAACAGGTAAACCCCAGAAGTGGAGATTCCCAAACGGAAAATTCCAGAAATGGGCGCTCCAGCTCTGTGCTAAGCTGGGGACGAGTGTGAGTGTGTCTGCTTGTCCAACATTTGCACAGGCAGCAAGGCAAAGCAGGTGTGCTCCCAAAGGCGGAGTCTGAGGAGGGGCCGGCAGCGGCAAACGGCAGCATCAAACAGACCACTGCTGCCGCGGCAACCCAGGGCCTCTTCAGAGCTTTCAAGGCGATGGAGCGAAGACCAAGGGTGCACATGCATGCAGGCAGGCTGGGAAGGAAGAGCGGGTGGAGGAAGACTGAGGGGAGGCTGCCAGGAGACCGCCATCTGGGAGCAGGGCCAAGAGAGAAGCTGGCAGCAGTTACACAGCGCAAAATAAAAGGCCTTGGGCTGGACTCAGGCGGAAAGAAAGTGCTGGAGGAAATGAAAGAACAAAGCGGGCTGTCTGTGTGCCCACGCCGGGCCGGTCACTACCTTTTCTGCCTGACAAGTGTACATAAAACAATTCCCGAACAGCACGGAGCATCAGACACAACTAGAGGTATGGAGGGCAGGAGGTGGGATGCGGTGGTGAGGCTGGGGCTGGGCAGCCGGCTTTGTACAAGGTGGCACAAAAGACGTACGCATTCCAGTTCTTGGAAGCTGGCTTCCCTCGAGTCTGGAGTGCTGGGTTTGGGAGTTTTCTATTGCAGTCTTTCAAGTCTGAGTTGGACCCCAGGCTGGAGGGGCTGGTTCCACCACCCGCCCGCAGCCACCCTGCCTCGGGCTACACGTCGGTGGAGAAGTACAGTGTGTTCCGCTTGAGTTCTGCGAAGGAAATGGGGGGGTGCTGCAGGTAGTAGAGGAGGACCTGGACCTGTGGGGAGACAGGAAGGCGGAGGCTGGGCTCCCTGTCCTAGGCCTCGTCCTTGCTGACTCCAGCCTGTGTTGCCCCTCCCACTCCCTAGACTGGCTCCGGCCACCGCCCCTTCCTGGGGAGCCCAGGTGTGTTTGCCTTTCTGCAGCCGTGGAAGGTGCTACGGGGCAGAGGGTCGGGGGCCTAGGGCCACTTCCCCAACCTGGCCATAAGCTTCTGCTCTGTCCTGAGGCGGCCACAGTCCGGCCCCTGCTCTGGGTCTTGCAGGAATCCCAGGGAAGCCTCCCGCCCTTGGAAGCAACCTCAGAGCTTCCACCCATGAGGACAAGGGCCCAGCATCTCCCCACCCCTGGGCTTGCTTTCTGAGACTGAGGCCCTCCTGAGAATGCAGCCAGCATCTCTGGGCCCTGGTCTAGGCTCACATGTTTGTTTTGGCCTGGGAGGGGCAGAAGTGTCTACAGTCCTGCCTCCCTGGTGACACCCCATAGCCCATCAACCCAGCTTCCCACGAGGGAAGAGGTGTGGGGACTCTGAGCTGTTCTCTCTCCTCCTAAGGGGCTGGTCTCACCCTCCGCCAGCCACGGGCCCGGGCGGTGCCAGGGTACCTGCGCCATGACGTCATGGGACCGTCACCCTCCGCCAGCCACGGGCCCGGGCGGTGCCAGGGTACCTGCGCCATGACGTCATGGGACCGTCACCCTCCGCCAGCCACGGGCCCGGGCGGTGCCAGGGTACCTGCGCCATGACGTCATGGGACCGTCACCCTCCGCCAGCCACGGGCCCGGGCGGTGCCAGGGTACCTACGCCATGACGTCATGGGACCGTCACCCTCCGCCAGCCACGGGCCCGGGCGGTGCCAGGGTACCTGCGCCATGACGTCATGGGACCGTCACCCTCCGCCAGCCACGGGCCCGGGCGGTGCCAGGGTACCTGCGCCATGACGTCATGGGACCGTCACCCTCCGCCAGCCACGGGCCCGGGCGGTGCCAGGGTACCTGCGCCATGACGTCATGGGACCAGATGTCCGCAGCCGAGGTGAGGTGTGCTTTGCTCTCCACTTCTGAGGGTCTCAGTAACGTGGGTCCAAACACGGTAGCCAGGTTGTGAAGTGACATTTTGTTGATGGGCTCCTTCTCGGCAACCCTAAGAAGGAGAAGATGGGGAGGAAAGAAGCCCTTCCTCAGCAGCCACTCGGAGCTCCAGGACCCTTGGCCTTCGCTGTGGGAACTCCTGAAGGACTCCTGGAAGGGGTCACCTCGTCTCTGTCTCCTAGGAGTGGGGACCTCCCCCGGGGGAAGGGGACTCATCCAGGAGAGCAGGGCCCCAGCCATGTGCCAGTGTTCTGTGCTAACATCTCCAGCTGCTGGGTCCCCCTGAACTGATGGTGAACTGCCAGAGCCAGGGAGCCCACAGATGCCAACTCCAGCTCCCTTGCCTGAGAGCAGATACTGTTCTGAAAACTCCCTGGAACAACTCACACTCGCCGCAGTCCTTTGAGGTAAATATGATTATCGTCACCCCCATCGTGTAGATGAAGAAACCGAAGTACAGAGGGGTTAAGTGACTTGCCCAAGGTCACACAGCCAGCAACTGGTAGAGCTGGGATTTGAACCCCGGTAGCTGCCTCCAGGACCTACCGCTCTGTTGCTTTCTCATGTGCTAAGTGGCCCAAAAGAAGAGTTAAGGTGGGTGGGGCAGGGGAGAAAGGCAGGCAGGGCCTGGAGCCCAGCAGGAGTCACTAGCTAGACCCGGGGCTCTGCCAGCTGTGCTGGGGCAGGAGCAGCCCTACTTCCAGATGAGCCCGGGGACTGTCCCCCCGTGCCTGTCCGGAAAGGTCGGCCTCGTGGGACCCAGGGCTTCCTCTTGTGCCTCTCCGGAAGGGTCTGCCTCATGGGACCCAGGGCTGCCTCCTATGCCTCTCCGTCTGCCTCGTGGGACCCAGGATTGTCCTCCCTCTGGATCCTCTCCTGCTTCTCTTACTCAACAGGCCAGATGCTCTGCGATGCTTCCCTGGGGTAACAGCAGGAGCTGCCATCAGGGCTGGTGTCCAGGCAGGCCCAGGGTCAGCAAACATATCAGAGGGCCTCTGGTTCTCCTTCAGTCTCAAAAAATGTTTCTGGGCTGAGACCCACCCACCCTAAGCAGCGCCTCTCACCCTCAATACCATCATTCCCACCCTCCAGGCAGGAGCTGTGGCTGCGCCTGCTTTGGAAACAGGCAAACAAACACTGTGATGCCAACAGGCAGCTGTGCAGCGGGGCCAGCCCCTCACCACACGCGCGCACACGGTCCAGCCAGGGGCCCAGATGTGGGAACAGACTGTGCCCAGTTCCCAGGGTGGAAGCCGAATGAATTTTCCCTTCCCACTCCTCCCCACAAGGCTTGCCAAATGCTTTCGGAATTGGTTGGGGCTCTAGTCCTGGCCAAACCAGAGGAAAAATGTTTCATGATGGGAAAAACAAGACACCAGCCCCGGGCGCGTCCAGGTCTCCACTGGCTCTCCCGAGCCTGGCGTGGCTGAGCTGCAGCGGGGGGCCTGGCCCTGAGCTGGGGCTGAGCTCAGGGAAGAATTGTTCCGCAGAGCAGTCTGAGGGGGCTCCCCGGTCCTGGCGTGCAGGTGGGTTTAAGGGACGCCCAGGGACCACCTCCCCACGCAAGCCTGAGGACCTCTGAACTTTGCTACAAGTACAACCAACTTTAGCCACTCTTGGTTGGACCTGACTAGAAAGGGTGGTGGGAAGGCAAGAAGGGTCTGAATTTAGGATCTGGAAGTTGAGGGCTCTAAGGACAGGTCTGCTACTAACCCAAGCAAGTCTCCGCCTGGTGTGGGGACTCAGTTTCCCTATGTCTAGTGAGGTGTGGGCCAAGACCAGTGGGTTTCACCTTTTTTGACTGTGGCCCACAATACAACCCATGCTGTAACACAGTCCACACGTCTCTATGTAACTGAAAAGCAGCACCTGCATCAAGGCTTACAATGTATCCTCCTGCTGTCTGTCCCCCACTGCTGTCCATCCCCACTGCTGTCCATTCCCCCACTGCTGTCCATCCCCACTACTGTCCATTCCCCACTGCTGTCCACCCCCCACTGCTGTCCACCCCCCACTGCTGTCCACCCCCCACTGCATCTAGAAATGGCTACATTCGTTGAATGAACCACCAGTAGGTTGGGACCCACTGATTATAAAACCTGCCTGTAGTCCTGGGCTCTCACCCTGCCATTCTGAGCATTCTATGGTCAATATTTGAGGTTACTACTGGTTACGGGACCCAAATATTTCTCAAAACAGAAAAACATGAGTGCAAGAACTTGGAAAGCAAACTCTCACTCCCCACAGACAGCCCGATGGAGGCCAGCGCCCACGAGGAGGGACTGAGGAGGTGGGGTTGGGGCCACTCCCCGTTACCTTTTCACGAGGAGGGACTGAGGAGGTGGGGTTGGGGCCCCTCCCCGTTACCTTTTCATGAGGAGGGACTGAGGAGGTGGGGTTGGGGCCGCTCCCCGTTACCTTTTCAAGTGTTCCAGCAGGAAGAGGAAGGTGATGAGGTTGGGGTCGGGCAGGGAGCGGAGCAGGTGCATCATGCAGTTTTCCTTGGCAGCAGGGTCTGACAGGGCTGTGGGAGAGAAGGGCCAGTGTGGCGTTTGGCTCCTGGGGCTCCCCGCCAGGGCCCCTGTGGTCGTGAGGCTGTGGGCCCCTGCGGGAGAGAGCCCAGGCTTCCAGGCCTTTGGGGAGCAGACCCCACAGGGGAGGGCCTGGTGTCTGGGTGGGCTGTCAGCAGCTGCTTCCTCCAGGAGGCCCCACCACGACTGGTAACTCAGCCAGGAGGCCGGCTGGTGGGAGCAGACCCCCTTCCTGCAGCTGACTGCATAGGCCTTGGGTGCTGGGGCATCCCCTGTCTCGTAACAGGACACCCCCTGGTCTGTGTGGCTAAGGTTAAGCCAGTAGGGACATATCCTGCCAGCGGTGGATTCTCTTTCTCCACCCCTTCTGCTGCTGGAGCGTGGGTGCAAGCAGCCTTCCGTGGGGGCTGAAGCTCCAGTCTGCCCCAGGAGCAGAGAAGGCTGAAGGGATTCCTTGGGGCTGGGTTTGGCCCAGGTGGGTGGAGGCGGAAGGCCTGCTGGCCGGGGCCCTCCGCAGAGGTGACGGGACGGTGTGTGGTCCCGCTGGAAGGCTCAGCACAACCCATCTCGAGTGCCCTATGGCTTAAGCCAGCCTCCTCCTTGGTTCTGGGATGCTGGCTTCTGGCCACTCACCTCAGGGCAGTCTTCCCTGGATGCTCGAGCTTCCAAGCAAGAGGCCAACGTCCAAATAGGAAGCAGAAGGGGCTGCCCATGGGGACATCAGGGGCAAGAGGCAGGCGAGAAAGGGCCCAGTGTCTGCACCAGGTCCCAGCAGGCCACACCTCACCCTCGGACCCCTCAGCCACAGGCCCCAGTGCACTGGGAAGGTCAGCCAGCAAAGGAAGCCACAGATATTTCTCCTGCTGGTTACTTCTCCGGGCAGGGAGTCCTGGCTCAGTCTGGCCCAGCCCAGTCCTAGGAGCCCTCAGGGCCTCACCGATGCCCTCCATGAAGGCTGGGTAGAGTCGGTCCGTGAGGAGCGGCTCGGGCAGTTCCCGGAAGTACAGCTTGAGCGTCCCGGCGATGGCGTTGATGTCCATGTCACTCAGCATCAGCAGGATGTCCTTGTTATCTGCAGGGGTGGGGCCGAGGTCAGGCAGCCTTAGCTGGGCCAGCAGCCCCGTTCCACCCCCGACCCATCCTGACACAGCCCCCACCCACTCCAGCTCTGGTTCTGGTCTCCCCTGGAAGAGCAGGATGTAGAGAGGGCCCACAGGTGTCTGTGACTCGGCTCTGTGGGTCGGGGTTGGGGGAACAGGGAGAGATAGCCTGGGGGCCATCTGCTGTGGCTGCTTGGGAAAGGGTGTTTGGGGAGTGAAATCCATCACCCAGAGTTCAGAGCCACATTCATACCATGTGGCCTGCAGCTTCCTTCCGACTGGAACCTCTCCATCGCTAAGCCCCTCTCTGGAAGGCATTGCACACTTTTCACACGTAAAAGCATGTTCCGACAAAGCCTCAGCTTCTAGGCTGCACAGAGGCACCAACGCCGGCCAGTTCCCAGGCCCCACCCCGTCCTCCACTCCAGGCTCCCCACGGATTCATCCCTGCCTGGCCAGTGCAGGTTTCTTGACAGTGGGGTATGTGGCTGCTGCACCTGAACCAGCAGGAGCAGGGAGGAGAAACCAGAAAGGTCAGGCCTCACCATGGTGGGCTTCACGCAGAGGCAGCACTGCCCCAGAGGGGACCTGGGGCCCTGGAGACAGCAGGTGCAGGCTCAAAGCTCTTTCCCTGCGGCTCACCAGGCACCCAGGAACTAGCAAGAAAGACACTGGAGTCAGATCTGAGTTTTAAGTCCAGAACCAAAACCTACAAGTTGGGTCATCCTGGGCAAGTGAGTCGGCCCTTGTGAGTTTCTGCAGTTGCTTACCTGCAGCAAGGGACAAGAGATTGGAGGGGAGGGGATTACAAGAGAAAGCACTTGCCACGGGGACTCTGAAGCAGAGCAAGCCTCCTCTCCAGGGAGGCTCCTGGTTCCCCCGAGCTCTCCTGTCCATCCCACCAGCCTGCTCAGACACAGCCACACCTGCCCCGGCTGGGCCTCCCAGACTCACTGGCATCGAAGACGGCCTTGAGCGCCTGGATGTCCGTGGCCACGCCCGATATCCTGTAGATGCCAACCTCCTCGATACCCCTCTTCTCCACCTCCTCCACACACTGCCGGACGATGTAGGGCACCTTGGAGCGCTCCCGCCTGGGGTGGAGCGTGAGGATGGGTGGAGGGCAGCCCCCACGACAGCTCTCCCGTAGCAACCCCCACCCAGCACACACACACCCTGGAGAGCTTCTAGCATTTGGGATGGAGAGCTGGGGCGGGGGCAGGGGCAGGGCAGAGAAAGAGGCCACCGCACCCCACCCCAGCCAGCCCACCCGAGGCCTGCCGAAGGGGCATCGACGGACGTGGGCAGGAGAAGCCTTGGGAACTTGGGAAGGTAAGGCCGAGACTCTAGGGAAAGAACGTCCCCCAGATTCAGATGCTTGTAGGAGGCCCAGCAGGCAGCCCACATGAGGAGGTGGGTCAGGCCTGAGACAAGGGGCCAGGGTGGTGGTGAACCGGGGGACACGTGCCCTTTCCCGAGGGGCCGCCAGTCCCCGTTGGTGCCGAGCCCAAACGTAGGCCCCCGGCTGACAGAGCTTCCCGCTTGTTACGAGGAGCAGACGATCTGGGATCTCACAAGAGACCTTCCAGCGTTTAGGTGCTGGCTCGCGTGCTTCTGAAGTGTCCTGTGAGCGCCTCTGCGGCCACTCTAGATCCACACCGGCCATCTGCCACCGCCGAGCGGGGGGTAACTGATTAGGTGCCAGGATGGGCACCGGCGGGGAGGGCTGGGGGGCCCGGGCTGGGGGGGACCCGGGGCACCGACGCCAGGACTGGGAGACCCGAGGCAGCACCTACTTCGTCACCACGCTGATCTTCACACCGAAGACGCCGGTCTGCTTTTTGGACGGGGTCCTCTTCAGGCTCATATCTCGGCTGGTGAATTTCATGGAAAATTCCACTTTGATCTGGTTGGGGGGTGAGGCAGGTAAAGATTCCCCAGGGTGTGAGTGCCCGAGGAATGCCCCCAAAACACAGGGGTCCCCTCCCCAAGACTGCAAATGAGGGCTAGCTCACACCCAGGTCTCCCTCAACACAACACCTGCAGGACAGCAGCGGGCAGGGTGTGGGCAGGAGGGGAGAGGGGGCTGGGCTGCGGGGAGGTCGAGGCGGCACAGCGGCCCCAGGAGCAGCCACAGGGCCGGGCTGCCCACCTGCTGCACAGACGTTCCACCTCCCGGCTCACGCCACTGATCATTCCCATCCCCGGCTCACCCCGTTCATCTCAATCACGTCCGTGTGCCAGTTCTTGGTCTCCACGGTTTGTGGGTCCAGCTGCAGAGAGAGAATGTGGGTGAGAGAGGTGCCAGCTCGGAGGCCAAGCCAGAGATCTCCCCGTGGGTCAGCACTGCTCAGAGCCAGCTACACAGTCAGGAAGGCGGAAGTGAGCAGCTGGGATAAGCTGATGTTTACCTGGAAATCAACCCTTTGGGGGGACCCTAGCCCCCAGGCCCCTGTGGCCGCCGTGGGGGAGGCAGGGCACACCCTGTTACCCGCCGTGGGGGAGGCAGGGCACACCCTGTTACCCGCCGTGGGGGAGGCAGGGCACACTCTGTTACCCACCGTGGGGGAGGCAGGGCACACCCTGTTAGGCACTCCTGGCTGCCAGCCCGGGACATGGGTATTATTACCCCATTTCACAGATGCAGAAACTGAGGCTCACAAAAGGTAAGCACCTGATTAGGAGGCGCTCAAGTCCATCAGGAGGGAACCAGCCCATCCACGTGGAGGTGTTGAAGAGTCAGGAGCCCGCGCACAGGAGGCTGCCTGGGTTTGAATCCTGGCAAGTTTTAAACTCACTAAGCCTCAGTTATTCCATCTGCAACAGAACCTGCCTCCCTGGGATTGCTGGGAAGATTCAGGGAGAAAACTTGGGTCAAGCCATTGGCTCCCAAATAAGCAAATCCTCCACAGGGGAAGTCCCCAGGCTCGGGCTGGAGCCCAGGGAGGTGCGGACCCCAGGGGAGGTCAGAGGCAACCCTCACACAGGACTGTTCCACGTTCTGTTTCTGTAACTCGGGGGCCTTCGCGCCCGTCTGCCTGTGCACCTGCGAACTAATTCTGAGCAACTGTGCGCTCCCTGGCACTTTCTGAAGTCAAAATCTGAACATTTCCAAGTTTAAATAGTTGCAAAGAGTATGATTTCCAAAATCATGTCAATATTGCCATCCTAAAATAAAAGTGTGACATCATTCCTTCTCATGGATTCAGTGGGATCTAAATACCCCAGCGACGTGATACCCACACTCATCCATTTAAAAACTACACGAGGCCAGGCGTGGCGGCTCACGCCTGTAATCCCAGCACTTTGAGAGGCCAAGGCAGGCAGATCACGAGCTCAGGAGATCGAGACCATCCTGGCTAACACGGTGAAACCCCGTCTCTACTAAAAATACAAAAAATTAGCCGGGCGTGGTGGCGGGCGCCTGTAGTCCCAGCTACTTGGGAGGCTGAGGCAGGAGAATAGCGTGAACCCGGGAGGCAGAGCTTGCAGTGAGCCGAGATCGCGCCACTGCACTCCAGCCTGGGCGACAGAGCGAGACTCCGTCTCAAAAAAAAAGAAAAAACATCTAAACAATGTTGAAAAAGAACACAGCTATAGGGCTAATATTACCCAATTTCAGGGCTTATTATATAAAACTCTCAAAATTCAATATTAAGAAAACAGGCCAGGCACGGTGGCTCATGCCTGTAATCCCAGCACTTTGGGAGGCCGAGGGAGGCGGATCACGAGGTCAGGAGATCGAGACCATCCTGGCTAACACGGTGAAACCCCGTCTCTACTAAAAAAAAAAAAATACAAAAAATTAGCCGGGCGCGGTGGTGGGCGCCTGTAGTCCCAGCTGCTGGGGAGGCTGAGGCAGGAGAATGGCATGAACCCAGTAGGTGGAGGTTGCAGTGAGCGGAGATCACACCACTGCACTCCAGCCTGGGCGACAGAGTGAGACTCCGTCTCAAAAAAAACAACAACAACAAAAAACTACACAAACAAGCTCTTCTTTCCCTCACAGAGCTCCTGGATCTTCTCTCCTTGAATTTGTTTCTATTCCATTTCTCCTAAAGAATGTTGTCCTAGTTTATATTTTTATATTTTCAAGTCCTTTATTCACCATTACATTTTGCTTCCACAAAAAAAATCTGTATACATTGAAAACAAAAATTTCCAGAGACCACAAGGCTCCAAATATTCAAAATATATTCAGGATTAGTTAGTACCATGATTGGCAGTACATAATTAAAAAGACAGCCAGGCACGGTGGCTCACGCCTGTAATCCCAGCACTTTGGGAGGCTGAGGCTGGTGGATCACCTGAGGTCAGGAATTCGAGACCAGCCTGGCCAACATGACAAAACCCTGTCTCTACTAAAAATACAAAAGTGAGCCGGGTGTGGTGGCGGGCACTGTAGTCCAAGCTACTACTTGGGAGGCTGAGATGGAAGAATCGCTTGAACCCAGGAGGTGGAGGTTGCATTGAGCCAAGATCACACCACTGCACTCCAGCCTGGCGACAGAGTGAGACCCTGTCTCAAGAAAAAAAAAAAAAAAGTAAGCCGACACATTATATACATTTTATTTATTTTTTTGAGACAGAGTTTCGCTCTTATTGTCCAGGCCGGAGTGCAATGGTGCGATCTTGGCTCACAGCAACCTCCGCCTCCTGGGTTCAAGCGATTCTCCTGCCTCAGCCTCCCGAGTAGCTGGAATTACAGACACACACAACCACACCCGGCTAATTTTTTGTATTTTTAGTAGAGATGGGGTTTCTCCATGTTGGTCAGGCTGATCTCGAACTCCCGACCTCAGGTGATCCACCCGCCTCGGTCTCCCAAAGTGCTGGGATTACAGGCGTGAGCCACCGCGCCTGGCCTCATTATACATTTTAATAAATATTAAGTAGCAGAGTAACTTTTTGGTGGAATGCTCTCTCAATGAGATGGGCGGAACATTTTTTGCTTTAGTTCGCGTATCTATAGGGTATTATTTTTTGCTAGAGTGAAACGAGGCTCAGCATCAATTTGGTTCATGTTTCTGGTTTTGTTGTAAAGATGTGCAGGTGCTGTGGCTCCCAGCCACAGGACCACTTGAGCCCAGGAGTTCGAGACCAGCCTGGGCAATGTAGGACCATGTCTCTAAAATGAACAAGAAATATGTGAACAATGAAACATTTTGTTCACATAAAGAAGTAGATGAGGTCGAAAAGAGTTTTATCACAGCCGCGTTACACCATTCTTTAACCTCTCTCCATGCTATCCGCCTTAAATCGCATATATACCTATTACTGAAAATTACTTGAAATGATCTCTCAGTTGAAAATTGAGTCCTCCATCAGTTTTGTGGAAGGCAAAGAACTGGATACCACCTGACTTTTGAAAGGTTCTAAGTGGCCACTAGAGTCTTTTACTTTCTGAACACTGACCCCAACGTTTCTTTTTTTTTTTTTTTTTGAGACGGAGTCTCGCTCTGTCGCCCAGGCTGGAGTGCAGTGGTGCAGTCTCGGCTCACTGCAAGCTCCACCTCCCGGGTTCAAGTGATTCTCCTGCCTCAGCCTCCCGAGTAGCTGGGATTACAGGTGCCTGCCACCACGCCCAGCTAATTTTTTATTTGTAGTGGAGATGGGGTTTCACCATGTTGGCCAGGCTGGTCTCGAGCTCCTGACCTCAGGCGATCCACCTGCCTCGGCCTCCCAAAGTGCTGGGATTACAGGTGTGACCCACCATGCCTGGCCCCTACCCCAACATTTCTAAAAGCCCCTCTGTTCCCCACCCAGGAGGTCTGCGCACCCCGGGCCAAGCCCCGACAGCCAGCCTCAGGCCTCTCCTCTGCAGAGGACAGGATGGCGAGATGCTGGCTCTCAGGCAGATGGCTTTCTGGCAATAGCACCTATGGCAGCTGAGAATCTGCAAACTGATTTCCTGAAAACTCTCCTGCCCACGTCGCCCTCAGAACGTCTCTGTGCACTCTGAGGTGTGCGTGCCACGGTTTGAACGCAGTTGCTATAACAGGCCACTGTCATCACGGAAGGGAAACTGGATCTGGGTCAGCCTTGGGCTTCCTGCAGCTCGATGTAGGTCCTTCCCACATCTATCACCCACACACCGGCTGGGGGCAGGTGGTACCCAAGCCTCCGACGGGGTCTGGGTCTGCACTGGGTTCGCCCTGCCCAGAGAAGGGATGGAACCCAGAACAGGAGACAGAAGTTGGGTGTGTGCAGAGAACCAAGTGCCCCTCAGGGAGAACCACTGCTCCGGGCACCTCTTCACACACGGGAAGCGTGAGGCCATCACCAGCCCGGCTGGAGGCAGGGGTCCTACAGGGTCTCAAAGGAAGCCCCAGCTCTGGCCTTACTTTCCCGAAACCTCTCTCCCCTCTAAGCTGCTTCTGTTCTTTGCAAACCCTCCTGGATCACACAGGCTGTCCCTCGTAGTTCCTTCATCTCGTCTGGACACGGAGCCGGGCCTGGGTCTGTCCCCAGCTCTGTCCCCCAGCAGTAGCCACACAGGGTGGAGGAATCAAATGCTCTTTGTCAACTGAGATGCTACCCTTGGAAGAAACATTCTGGAGCGGCCATGCCCTCTTTTTTTTTTTTTTTTTTTTTTGAGACAGAGTTTCACTCTTGTTGCCCAGGCTGGAGTGCAGTGGTGTGATCTCGGCTGACTGCAACCCGTCTCCCAGGTTCAACCGATTCTTCTGCCTCAGCCTCCCAATTAGCTGGGACTACAGGTGCGCACCATCACACCCGGCTAATTTTTGTATTTTTAGTAGAGACAGGGTTTCACCATGTTGGCCAGGCTGGTCTCGAACTCCTGACCTCAAATGACCCACCCACCTTGGCCTCCCAAAGTGCTGGGATTACAAGTGTGAGCCACCATGCCTGGCCAATTTTTTTATTTTTAGTAGAGATGGGGTTTCACCATGTTGCCCAGGCTGGTCTTGAACTCCAGACCTCAGGTGGTCCGCCCACCTTGGCCTCCCAAAGTGCTGGGATGACAGGCGTGAGCCACCGCACTCGGCCTGTATTTATTTTTCTAGAGACAGGGTCTCACTGTGCCGTCCAGGCTGCTATGTTGCCCTGGGCTTCAGTGATCCTCCTGCCTCAGCCTCCTGAAGAGCTGGCATTACAGGCATGTACCACTGTGTGGGCCCTTATTTTTTATTTATTTATTTATTTTTGAGACGGAGTCTTGCTCTGTCGCCCAGGCTGGAGTGCTGTGGCGCGATCCTGGCTCACTGCAAGCTCCGCCTCCCGGGTTCACGCCATTCTCCTGCCTCAGCCTCCTGAGTAGCTGGGACTACAGGCGCCCGCCACCACCCCCGGCTAATTTTTTGTATTTTTAGTAGAGACGGGGTTTCACCGTGTTAGCCAGGATGGTCTTGATCTCCTGACCTCGTGATTCGCCCACCTCGGCCTCCCAAAGTGCTGGGATTACGGGCGTGAGCCACCACGCCTGGCCCGGGCCCTTATTTTTTAATTGACACATTGCAGTTGTATGTATTTATGGGGCGCAGTTCGATGTTTTGAGACCACCCCTTCTTGAGGCAGGTCTCTCCACACATCAGCATAAGCCTCAGGCCAATTCCATGGCCCCTGGTCCGATTCACCCACAGCCCCTCCTCCGCCCCAGCTTCCCACGACTGGGTGCCTCCTGGCAGCTTCTGCAGGAAGCTGAGCCAATGGTCCCTTCCCAAGTCTCAGGGGGACCTGGACACAACCTGGTCGGGGGGAGTGTGCAGGATTTGGAGGCAGGCTGATCTGAGTCTCCCATTCAACCGTGCGCACTCGGGCAAGGCCTTTCACCTCCGTGAACTTCAATTTCCTCATGGAGGCATCCACACCTGACTCACAGGGCTGTTATGGAAGAGTGAGAGCAACGGACTTATCTCGAGCTCTTCCTGCAAGTCTGACACTGATGAATCCTCTACACACAGCATCTGCGTTCATGATCATGATAGCAGACATATGCGGTTTAAGCTCTCATAGCCGCTCCCATCTCACAGATGAGGATGCTGCAGCTTAACGAGAGTGAGGAATTTACCCAGTGCACACCTAGGAAGTCAGAGCTGGGGTTCAAAATCAAGGCCCCCAGCACCCTCTCTGCTGAAACTGCAGAATGTGTGAAGTCCATGACCCGCAGCTGCTGTAACTGCTGCTTCCTCAGAAAGGCAACATCGGGCCTCCTGGTGTGTGTCCCGACCCGGTGGGCAGACCTGGTGCTGGGAGGCCACCCCCAGTACAGCCCTCCCGCTGCCTCGTGCCCATCACTTCCGCTCCAGCTGCCAGGTTCAACCTGGGCACATCTGACCCAGGACTGCACCTCCTGATGCTAAGGCCCAGTTCTCGCCCCGCCTCCTCCAGAGAGCCTTCTCGGAGAGCCCCAGGTCACAGTGGGAAACTTTGGGTCCTCTCTGCCTTCCTGCTCCACTAAGATCTACCCTCTGCAGCCTCCCAGGCGACACTTGCTGCTGTCTCACACACTCCAGCCCCTTCTGAGGCCAGGCCTGGGCCAGGGGCACTTTCCTAAGCTGTAAGCCCCTCAAGCCCTGACATCTTCCTGGTGCCTGCTGCAGGTGTGGCCCTGGTATCTGCTGCAGGTGTGGCCCTGGTGCCTGCTGCAGGTGTGGCCCTGGTATCCGCTCAGAGAGGCCTGCCTGGCCCCACGGTGCCCTGACAACGACGCTCTGTTTCCCAGGAGGCTATCAGCCTCCAGAAACCAAGTCTATTTCAGGATATCATTTAAACACAGAGGAGGGAGGGAGAGGCACAGCGTACATTTTCCAGAGAAACGCTGCTGCCCGCAACTGCGCTGGCTATTTATAACTCCTGGGAAATGTGGACTGTGCTATTTCCTGATGAGATTAGCACCGGGGTGGAGGGGCTGGCCCCTGGGACGTTGGTGGATGGGACACCTGACTGCTCACCCTCTGGTCCCAGCAGACAGGTGCCTTCCATGGGCCCAGGGGAGCAGGTACTTGGGGGATGTCTGATCACCTGAAGCAGGGAGACAGAGGGAGCTCGTGAAGGGTCAGGCTGGGAAGACCACCAGGGGCACACGAGCACTGGGGCCTCCCCAAGGTGGGCCACAGGCAGGAGACAGAAACAGGCTGCAAAACATCGTGGAGCCAAAAGGCGGACGAACGACTGGGCCAGGGGTCGACGACTGGGCCGTACATGGTCACTGAGAGCAGCTCAACTATTTCCTTCTTTTTTTTTTTTGAGACGGAGTCGCACTCTGTCGCCCAGGCTGGAGTGCAGTGGCGCGATCTCAGCTCACTGCAACCTCCACCTTCGGGTTCGAGCGATTCTCCTGCCTCAGCCTCCCGAGTAGCTGGGGCTACAGGCACGAGCCACCACGCCCGGCTAATTTTTGTATTTTTAGTAGAGACGGGGTTTCACCGTGTTGGCCAGGCTGGTCTCCAACTCCTGACCTCAGGTGATCCACCCGCCTCGGCCTCCCAAAGTGCTGGGATTCCAGGCGTGAGCCCCTGCATCCGGCCGACTGTTTTCTCTTTGTCTGGGCACTTCGCCTGGTCAAATCATGACTGCGCATTCAGGCCTCTCCCAAAGAGAAACGCTGGCGCTGGGGGCTCATGTCCAGGAGACGACCAGGTCCCCTGCGGCGAAAACCCAGCAGGCAGGGGCACCGGGTTGAAATGGGGCTCCGTCACCTCCGAGGGAGCAGGAGTGAAGACCCGAAGGTGAGCGTGGATTCTCTGCCAAGAATCCCGTAGGTGGCTGGTGGAGGTCGCCTCGCCTTTCTGGACCGAAGTGACCTCATGTTTGGGGCAGGAATCAGCAAAGTGGCCCCGCAGCGGGGAGAGGATTTGAGGCTCCAGGGCAGAGGGTGCTCCACGCACACCTGAGCGTCCTCCAGGGCTGAGTTTCAGGAACATCCTGGGGATGCCCCTGAGGGTCTCAGCCCTTCCTCTCGGCTCACCTCTCACCCCCTGGGGCAGGTGACCCCATTTCTCCTGCCTCTGCCCGGAGGGCTGCTCCCGGCCAGCTCCCCGTGCTCGGATTCAGGGGCACGCTCCCTCCGGTCTCCACTCCTGCTCCCTCGGAGGTGGCAGAGCCCCCATTCCAACCCAGTGCTCCTGCCTGCTGGGCCACACTCTCCACTCCAGCACGCAGCTCGCCCCAAGGTCTTCGGAGATGGTTTCCACCACCTCCCCTCCCACAAGCCCTCACCCAGGGCCCTTTAATCCACAGTAAGGGGCCTGTGGTGGCCCTGCCCAAGGCAGGTGGGACTTAGAACTGGCCACTGGGGGTCTCAGTGGAGGGGGGAGCAGAGGTCCCAAGCAGCCTTCAGTGGACGCCACTCAGGACGTGATCCAGGGGCTCACTGGACGACGGGAATCTGAAGACCACATTTGCCAGGGCCCCAAGAGCTCCCAGGCCTCCGCCTCCTTCCTGAAAGCCGCTTCCCTCAGGAGCCCACTCGGTCACTCCCACCGCCCAGGAGCTGACCCCCCGAGGAGCCCTGCCTCCAGGCACAGCCCTGCCCTCGGGGGCCGCCCCATCCTGCCTCTCACGGCTGGCGCTCTTCTACCCTCCACCCTCTGAGCCCCGGCATCCCAGAATGCGGGAGGGTTTCCCTCAGAGGGGGTTGCAGAGGTTCATAAAAAAAAGTGCTTCTTCAGCCAGGTGCGGTGGCTCACGCCTGTCATCCCAGCACTTTGGGAGGCCGAGGCGGGCGGATCACAAGGTCAGGAGATCGAGACCAACCTGACCAACGTGGCGAAACCCCGTCTCTACTAAAAATACAAAAATTAGCCAGGCGTGGTGGCGGGTGCCTGTAATCCCAGCTACTGGGGAGGCTGAGGCAGGAGAATCGCTTGAACCCGGGAGGCGGAGGTTGCAGTGAGCCGGAGTTGAGATTGTGCCACTGCACTCCAGCCTGGCGGCAGAAAAAAAAAAAAAATGCTTCTTCACAACAAAGGTGGTAAATCTGTTCCTGAGAGGTGGGACAGGAACGCTAGAAAATGACTCCCAGCCGGGCGCGGTGGCTCATGCCTGTAATCCCAGCACTCTGGGAGGCAGAGGCGGGCGGATCACTCGAGCTCAGGAGTTCGAGACCAGCCTGGCCAACCTGACGAAACCCCATCTCTACTAAAAATACAAAATTAGCCGGAAATCACTTGAACCCGGGAGGCAGGGGTTGCAGTGAGCCAAGATAGCACCACTGCACTCCAGCCTGGGCAACAGAGCAAGACTCTGTCTCAAAAAAAAAAAAAAAAAAACAGAAAATGACTCCAGAAGGACCTCAGTGCAAGTGGCCCCCGGACAGGGAACCACGTGGAAGGTGGAGCTGTGTGGGCACATTTCACGCCTGCCCTGGAGGGGCCGCGGAGCCCAGGCCCTGAGCCAGGCATCGGGTCTGAGGGTGGGCACGTTTCCTGGGGCTCCCAGGCCAGCGGCCACGGTGGCAGCCCGGGCTGGCTTTCCCCTGCCCTCCCCCAAGGGCAGCCCCACGCTCAGGGCTGGGTCCCCTTGGGACACCGAAGCCGGCCTGTCATTGGGGCAGACCACAGGCGTGAGAGGCACGGCGGGGCTGGCAAGCTGGCAACGGGGGAGACGGGAGTTGCCAAGACCCTGCCTCTCCTCCCTCGAGGAGGCGCCGGAGGATTCCGTCAACGTGACTGCTCCGAGCGACTCCGAGAGAGGCAGGGCAGAGAGGGAGGGGCTGCCAGGACCTACCCCTGGCTTCCAGCTCAGCAGCTGGGTTGGGGACACCGGGCCAGGCTCCATAAACTCTCCACACATCTTCCCATGGCTTGGCATCCACACTGCTAGGCCAGGCAGGCTCCGCCTCTCCAGCCCTCACCCTGCAGGGTCAGCCAGGCTCCCTTGTAGCCAAGGTGTCCTGCAGCCAAGGTGTGCCCACCTGCCATACCCAGGCCAGCCACAGATAGGCTCGGGCTGATGCCGTGTCCCAGGGCCTCGGCTGGCTTCCCCTCCAACACCAGAGAACTTCGAAGTTCCCCAAGCCTCATGGGAGGAAGGGGATTAGCAGCTCTGAACGACGCTTTTGTCCAAGGCAGGCTAGCCTCTTAGCACCCGCAGCAACCTGCCTTCCCCAGCGTCCATTCTAGCACCTCTGCCTGCCCCACGTCCGCTCCAGAGCCTCTGCCGGCCCCACGTCCACTGCAGAGCCTCTGCCTGCCCCACGTCCGCTCCAGCGCCTCTGCCGGCCCCACGTCCACTGCAGAGCCTCTGCCGGCCCCACGTCCACTACAGCGCCTCTGCCGGCCCCACGTCCACTCCAGCGCCTCTGCCGGCCCCACGTCCACTCCAGCGCCTCTGCCGGCCCCACGTCCACTCCAGAGCCTCTGCCTGCCCTGGCACCCACTTTGCTTTTAGCCCCCGGGCTGGGCATGGCTGACCTTGAGGAGAAGCAGACAAAATCCAAACCTGGGCTGCTCTTGGAGGCCCCACAGCCAGGCACATCTCCCCCAGCGGCCTAGGGCTCCGTCTTCCTCAGGGCCAGCCCACCCCACCACTGCCTCCCTGTGCAGGCAGCCTGGAGGCTTCAGCTTCAGCTCAGAACTGGGCTACAAATACCAGCCAGGAAGCCGGCCCTGCCCCAGCCCAGGGCAGGTCGAGGATGCCAGAGTGGCAAGGGCAGGGGCAGTGGGGCCCTCTTGAGAAAAGGAACAGGCCAGGGCCAAAGCAACACGGAGGCCCTGTCCTGAAAGGAAAGGGGCGCCCTCAGAGGTCAAAGTCCAAGATGAGAGGCCTTCTGTGGTCCTGACCAGGAAGCTTCACGCTGGAGGCCACGGGAAGGCCAAGGACCTGTCAGACCTCCATGGGCTCTGAAGCCTCGAGCTGGACCTGGAGTGGTTAAGAAACATTAACAGGGCTGGGCGCGGTGGTTCACACCTGTAATCCCAGCACTGTGGGAGGCCTAGGTGGGAGGATCACCTGAGGTCAGGAGTTCGAGACCAGCCTGGCCAACATGGAGAAACCCTGTCTCTACTAAAAATACAAAAATTACCCCGGCGTGGTGGCACATGCCTGTAAACCCAGCTACTCAGGGGGCTGAGGCAGGAGAACCGCTTGAACCCAGGAGGCGGAGGTTGCGGTGAGCCGAGATTGTGCCATTGTACTCCAGCCTGGGCGACAGAGCGAGACTCCATCTCAAAAAAAAAAAAAAAAAAAAAAAAAGCAGCATCAACAGCCTTCTCTGATACCAGCTTCACCCTCCCTGCCCGGGCCCAGAACACTTTCTGGGCATGGAGCTTGCTGCCGGGGACGTGAGGGGCTCCAGCAATTCCAGGGCCCAGGTCAGCTCTGAGCGGCCCCTCCCAGGCCTTGCCTTGCTCCGAGTCTCACGTTCAGTGGCGTCGTCGAGAAGAACCGTCTTGCCTGTTGCTATGCACAGCGTGCCAGGACGGGCACCACACTGATGCCTGACGGGCAGGAGCCCGGCGTCTCCAGACGCTCCCATCTGGGGCACGCAGCCCAACCCCAACCGGCCACGGAAGGCAGGACACCGCGGGTGAGAGCCTGCGCTGAGGCTGAGTGGCCGGGGTCTGAACGTCGCCCCTCGGCTAAGCCACTCACGTGACTTCATCTGAGTCACTCTCTGAGCCTCATTCCTCATATATAAAAACAGTCTGGGCCAGGCACGGGGGCTCCCGCCTGTAATCCAGCACTGTGGGAGGCGGAGGCAGGTGGATCCACTGAAGCCAGAAGTTCAACATCAGCCTGCGCAACATAACGAAACCTCGTCTTTACAAAAAATACAAAAATTAGCCAGGCATGTTGGTACATGCCTGTAGACCCAGCTACTTGGGAGGCTGAGGTGGGAGGATTGCTTGAGCCTGGGAGATGGAGGCTGCAGTGAGCCGAGATGGTGCCACTGCACTCCAGCCTGGGCGAGAGAGTGAGACTCCCACAAAAAAAAAAAAAAAAAAAATTAAAAATGTAAAACAAAATTCAAAACACATTTAGGCCTGGCGCAGTGACTCACGCCTGTAATCTCAGCACTTTGGGAAGCTGAGGCGGGTGGATCACCTGAGGTCAGGAGTTCAAGACCAGCCTGGCTAACACGGTGAAACCCCGTCTCTACTAAAAATACAAAAAATTAGCTGGGCGAGGTGGCGGGCGCCTGTAGTCCCAGCTACTCGGGAGGCTGAGGCAGGAGAATGGCGTGAACCCCAGGGGGCGGAGCCTGCAGTGAGCCAAGATTGCGCCACTGCACTCCAGCCTGGGCGACAGCGAGACTCCGTCTCAAAAAAAAAAAAAAAAAAATACAAAACTTGGCCGGGCGTGGTGGCGGGCACCTGTAATCCCAGCTACTCAGGAGGCTGAGGCAGGAGAATCGCTTGAACCCGGGAGGCGGAGGCTGCAGCGAGCCGAGATCGCGCCATTGCACTCCAGCCTGGGCGACACAGCAAGACTCTGTCTCAAAACAACAACAGCAAACAAAAACAAAAGAACCCAAACAAATAAATAAATAAACAGTGTGAATAACAGCACCTTGTAAGTGTCACCTCAGTTGCGTCACAGGCTAAGAATGATGCCTCGTACAGTACGTGTTCAAAACATATCGTCACAGAACTGTGCTTGAACACCCCGCGGCTTCCCACTGCATTCGGATTAAAGGCCCTGTCCTGAACCGCAGGGCCCCACGTCGCCTGGCCGCCGTCCCCTGACCCCACGTAACGCCCCACACTGTCCCCCTCTGCCTCTGAGCACACCTGCCTCGGGGTGTGGACCTTGCCGGTTCTTTGGCCTGGAATGCACTGCCCCCAGGTTTTTTATGGCTGAATTCTTCTTGTCATTTAAATCTTCGTTCAAAAGTGATCCTCTCAAGCCAGGCATCCCCCCGTCACTCTCTACTGCGTTACCCAGTTGTGTTTATTTTTTTCACAGCACTCATCTGACCGGCAAGGATCTCATTTGTTGACGGACTCCTCCTGCAGACAGGGTCTCGTCTGTCTCGGGCGCCTCTGTGTCCCTAGTTCCTGCAGGCCTGGCACGTGGAAGGTGCTCCGGCAATACTCACAGGCCAGAGGAACCAACTGGGGCATGGGGGAAGGAGGTGACAATGGCTCCCCGCCGGGGCTGCTTCAGGACAGGGCTCAAGAAGCCCTGTGTTCCCACTAAACCCCCTGCTCCCGTGTCCACTGAATGGCTGGCATTGGCCCAGGTGCAGCCCTGTGACAGACTCTCCCAGGGTGCTCAGGGTTTAAGGTTTAGGACTAGGAATCTTGAGACATGGCCAAGATCATCACATGAACTGGATTCCAGGAGATCATCCTGTTCAGCTCCTTCATTGAGCTGATACCAGAGAACCAGAGAGGCAAAGGGATGTACTCGCGGGCACACAGCAGTTAAGTAGCAGACTGAGACGAGAAAAATGGGAAACCTTGACTCCCACCGGCCTGGCGCCCTGTCTTCTCTGGCACCTTGTGCCACATGAGCCTGAGGGGCTGGGGACCCCGGAGGCCTCCCCGAGCACAGCCACGGCATCCAGGCATCGGATGGGAAGGGCGCTGTGGATGTCACGGCTCTGGCTGTGCCGGTCATCGGTACCAGCCCCGGCTGGGGTCACGGTCCAGAAAGGAGATCCCTCCAGATTTCGGCTCAGGAGCTGGTTCCGCTGTCTTGAAGCGGGACTGGGGAAGTCTCTGTGGGGATCCTGGGGCCTCCTGGCCTCTCTACAGAAGCCCAGGACCAGCTCCACGGGCCCCTCCCGCCTCTCCAGGGCCCATCCTGGAGGGCCAAGGGTCTACGGCTCACTGGACCCAGGACTGACGCTGCGTTTCTCCCCAGGGTGGGGCAGGCAGGTCACAGGCGCAGGGGACTGTCTGTTCCTCGAAGGTGCTGGGGGGCCGTCAGGACACAAACATCTTCCTGCCCCAGCATGAGTTCACAGGGGAAACGAGGTCAAAGAACAGCACCTGCTGACCAGTTCCCAACCACCTGGGCAGTGAGCGAGGCCACTCAGCAGAGGGCCAGGCCTCTCCAGCACCAGCGCCCTGTGGCCAACACCTGGCAGCTCCCCCAGACTCACACCTGCAGGCTTGGGGGCGCTTCCAAAATGCCTGGGGCAGCTCCCCCAGACTCACACCTGCAGGCTTGGGGGCTCCTTCCAAAATGCCTGGGGCAGCTCCCCCAGACTCACACCTGCAGGCTTGGGGGCTCCTTCCAAAATGCCTGGGGCAGCTCCCCCAGCCACACCTGCAGGCTTGGGGGCTCCTTCCAAAATGTCTGGGGCCTCATTGCCTCTGGGTACTACAGCAACACTGGGCTCAGGCAGCTTTGGCCTTTGAGGAACCCCCTTGATTGGCAGGTTCTCCTCTCCCTGGTCCAGAGCCATCCAAAAGCTGGGGCACCGCGCCCAGCACCGCTGGCTGGCCAAGCCGTCTGTGGCCTGCAGGGAGGCCGGGGAGGACCAGCGCCCTTCTACCCTCCCTAGGTACCAAGAAGCGGCACCTTGCCAAGTTCACTCAGAGCAGGGTTCCCGCCTTGATGTCTGCAGCCCCCTCTGAAGTCGCACACAGTGTGTGCATGGGGTGGCTCTGTGTCTGAGTGGCCTCCAGAACCTTCATCAGATTCTCAGAGTCCAGGGTTCCCGCTCTGCGGACTCAAGCAAGCCTCTTGGGAGCTGGCCTGGCAGAGAGATCAGAGAGTACTCATGAGGCCCCAGCAGTGAGGTCTGCCCACTCGGCAGGTGGGTAAGTGCTGTGGAAAAGAGGGAGGGTCGCCCGACCCCACTGCCAACCTGTCAGCCAGCCTGGCCGCAGTCAGGACCCACACATAGGCCCAGGAAGAGGTGGGCTGGTGTAGGGGCCTCCAGCTCTCGGGGGAGGCAGCACTGTAGTCCCCTGTCTGTGGCTGAGGGGTCGCTATGGGGGTGTGTGTGAACAGAGAAGACGCACGATGAAGCTTTCTTCCCACCGGGAAACAAGGAAGGGCGGTGGGCAGCCGGGCCAGGCCAGACTTCTATTGCAGAAGGCTGCGAGATCTTTCCTGACGCCCAGACTGGATTATAAAATAAAGTAGACGAGCCCAAGACATATCTGTATCTTGTACCCAGCACCTGTGTACCCTCGATGGCCAAGTGAGTGGTAGAGTGAACCTCTGGGGTGTGCACGTGGTCTGCACACCTGGTACCATCAAGAAGGAATAAACGACAGGCTCTGTGAGGGGTGGGGTTGTCCTGCGGTGGCGATCAAGCTGACAAAGAAAGGGACCCTTTCCTCCCCCCACCCCAAGACCGAGTCTCGCTCTGTTGCCCAGGCTGGAGTGCAGTGGCATGATCTCGGCTCACTGCAACCTCCACCTCCCAGGTTCAAGCGATGCTCCTGCCTCAGCCTCCCTAGCAGCTGGGATTACAGGTGCCCGCCACCATGCCCGGCTATTTTTTTTTTTTTTGTATTTTTAGTAGACACGGGGTTTCACCATGTTGGCCAGGCTGGTCTCGAACGCCTGACCTCAGGTGATCCACCCGCCTCTGCCTCCCAAAGTGCTGGGATGACAGGCGTGAGCCACCACACTTGGCTAATTTTTGCATTGTTAGTTGAGACGGGGCTTCTCCATGTTGGCCAGGCTGGTCTTGGACTCCTGACATCAGGTGATCCAAGAAAGGGACCTTCTTCTAAGACCATCATGAGCCTGAAGCTTCCCCGAATGGCCCAAGAGGGGCTCTCCACCCCGCCCTTCCTCAGGTAACACCTCTGATCCTCTCTGAAGCAAAGGCAGCAGCTCCCATCACAGAACACGGGACTCACCGTGGGGGTCAGCAGTGCCGGTGTCCAGCTTAAGAGGAGCTCTTTGGAAGTAGGGGATTCTCAGACCCACATGGCTGTGCTTCAGGGCAGAGACAAGGTCACCTGAAGCTGCACTCAATCTCCTTACACCCTGCCGGCTCAGCCTGAGTCCCCACCGCCGGCCAGCATCTGGCCTGGTCTGGGTCAGGAGCGTCTTGGACTTGGTTGCTCTATAAGGGCCTCAACTTCCCCGACAGACAAATGCTTCTGGACCGGCCTCCCTTCAGGCCCTCTTAGCCTCCTCACGGCTCCCACAAGGGGATGCTGCGGGGGCAGGGTGGGGGGGTTCCTCCTTCAGCCCCTTCCCCTCCAAAGCTCAAGCGAGAATCTAGAATTCAGCCCCTTCCCATCCAAAGCTCAACCAAGAATCTAGAAGAGGGAAGGATGGGAGGGAGAGGAAGGCACCGGGCCTGGTCTACTTGAGTGTGATTTGAGGCAAAAAAAAAAAAAAACAAACAGGGAAAAGGAAAGAAAAGTAGAAACGCGAAGTTCAATACCGAGAGCCCTGGCTGAACCCACAAACCCAGATGCCACGTGTCTCCCAGCTAAACACTCGCACAAAAAGCTGACTGCCAAGTCAGGGGCTGGAATGAGGCTTTGGCCCCTGAACTCTCCTCCGGTGACAAGAACAGCCCAACCACAGGGACCCCCGCTGGTACCCAAAGGATCCTCCGTGAGTGTCCCTGCCTCCTCTCCCCCAGAAACCAGAGGCCCTGCACTATTTAAAGGCTCAGTTCTGATCATGAGACCTTTCCATCTGAACAGATTGTTTAATCCCAGCCCTGGATGAGTCACGCCCCGCCTCCAGCCTTTAATGAACCTTCAGGTCAGTGGAAGCAGGAGGGCCACCGGTGTTTCTCGCACCCACAGCATCACTCAGGGCAAAGTTAACGAGGAGTTAATGAGGCAATCCCTCCTGCCAGTCTGGGCAGTACCAGGCACCCTTCCCTTACCCCACCGAAACGAAACTGCCTAGTCCCAGCCCCTCGGCCCAACTGTGAAGCTCCTGCAGGAAAATGCCAGGTTAATGTGGCTGAGGATAGAAAGCAAGAGGCCTGGCCCTTTGACTCTGCTGCTCACCCGCTGGCCTGCGCACAGTGAGGTGGGAAGCACAGGGCAGACGTCCCTCCGTCCACCACAGCGCTGACCCGTGTCCACGACACGGACACACTGTGGCAGACGTCCCTCCGTCCACCACAGCGCTGACCCCTGCGTCCACGACACGGACACACTGTGGCAGACGTCCCTCCGTCCGCCACAGCGCTGACCCCTGCGTCCACGACACGGACACACTGTGGCACACAGCACACGTTAGGGGATGGAATCGCTCGTCACACAGAGCAGCCCAGGGCCGGGGCCACCCTGAGCTGCACTGACGCCAACTGCTCAGCAGCTCAATAGCCCGGCGTCTGCCTGGCCACCACCCCTGCCCAGAGATCCCCATCAGACACGGAGCCACCAGGCACTGCCAGAGGCAAACCCAGCTAAGGAATTCTTGAAGGGGCTTCTCAGTTCTGCCGGCCACAAATGCATAGGGAAAGAACTGAAAGTCTGGGACCTCAGGTTTAAAAGTTGCCCCCTGCCCACCAGGCACCTCCTCAAAGGGGCAGGTAAACTGGAAGCGCCCTGTTTGGCTGGCGCTGGACCCGGAACCTGCCAGGTCAGTTTCTTGCCAACCCTGACGTTTGGGGATGGATGGTGAGCTCTGGGCTGGTGCCTGCTGGCCTCAGCAGGGGCTGGGGAGGGGATGAGTCCACGCTGCCGGGCACAGACAGCTGCCTCAGCACAGAGGGGCTCTGGCAGCAGCTGGGGCCAGCAGGGCTCTGCTAGCCCAGTCCCCAGGGAGGCTGAAGGTGACACAGGGGCCAGTGCAGTACAGCTCAAGTTGCTGCCCTGCCCAGCACTTTCCAGGGCTGATGTCACCTCTGGGAGGTCAAGTATGCCCCATGGCAGGAGCTGAAACAAAACGAGGGGCCAGTGAGCCCAAGATCACTTCGTCCTGGCTGATGCCAGGAGCCTCAATGCCGGCTGGCAGTAAGAGCCTGCAGAGAGGTCCTGTGAGCCTCAGGAGGAGCTGCAGATCCCCACCACGGACTGGCCAAGGCCTCCCTTGTTGCTCTCTTGATGGATGGGCCCAGCCCTGGCCAGCCGGACTGGCACTCTGAGACAGCTAACTCGGACAGTTGATTTGATCTGCAGAGTTATCGAGCACTTCCTGTGCGCTGGGCGCTGGGTCTGGCTCTTCCTCACGTGCCTGATGCCAGGGCCCCAAGCCAGCCCCGAGGCAGCCTGCCCAGCTGCAGGACAGTCGGCTTCTATCTCAGATTTTAATCCCAACTCAGGTCTGGGGCTGCAGGGGCACCGGCGGTCTGCCCTGGCACATGGACGGAACGCCTGGTGCCCGGCGGGCACTGGGCCCACAGTCAGATGGGTGGTCCCTGAAGGGAAGCCTCGAGCCCCCAGACCCGGCAGCATCTCCCCTCCCCACAATCCTGCACAGAGAAACCTCACACGGCAGACGGTGCTGCGGTCGGCGCCCCTCAGCAAAGGGGCAGCCAGCAAGGCCCGCTGGATGCAGGGATCAGGTAGAGGCTGAACAGGGCGGCAAGACATAGACCCAGAGGCAGGCGTCTCCCCGTGCGCTGTTTGCACTCCCGGAGTGGAAAGCAGGGTCCACCTGCCGAGAAGAAACCTCCCTTCTCCCGAGGCAGGGGCAGATGCCCGAGCGCCAGGGTCCGGGTGGGGGCGGCCCCAGCGTTCGCCATCAAGTTCAAGCCACTTAGAGGGACGCGCACAGACCCCAGCTCTGTCCCGGGACTCCACGGAGGGGGCGGGAGCGGGACCCCATCAGCCCCCGCAGCCCCCGCAGCCCCCCGAGCCCCGCAGCGCCCCCGAGCCCCCACCCCCCGGAACCTCCAGCCCCCGCGGGCACCTTGTTTCGGAGCAGCTTGTTGCGCACGCGGCCCCAGAGCCGGGCGCCGGTGTTGGGGGGGCGCTTGCTCCCCGACTCCTCCAGCGCCAGGGGTTCGCGCCCCGCCTTCGGGCTGCAGTCGGGCTGGGGCAGGACGTCGGTCATGCCGGGGGGGACGGGACGCGGCGCTGGAGAGAAGGCGCCTGTGGAGCGCTCAGTCCCGGCTGCCAGTCCCGCTAGTTCCCTAGTCCCGCCGGCTTTCCCCGCGCTCGCCTCCCTCCCTCCCTCCCTCCCCGCGCTCCCCTCCCTCCCTCCCTCCGTCCGCGTCCCTCCTCCCTCCTCCCTCCTCCGCATCCCTCCTTCCCCGCCCTCCGCGAGGCTGCAGCCCAGGCTGAGCGCCGCCTCCCAGGCCCAGGGCCGCCCCTCCAAGCCCCAACCCCGGGTTTCATCCCTGGCAAGGGCGCTGCTCCTCCCCGACCCCGCCGCCCTCCCTCGCAATAAAGTTTACACCAGCCCCACACCCCAGTCCCTCCCTGCTGGGTCCCCGTGTTGCCCACCGGGCTGCTCCAGGGGCCAAGCGGAGGGGCCGGGGGCCAGGCGGGGGCTGCATTTTGGCCACAAACAGCTGCCCTCCTCCCCGGGCAAAAGACTCTGACTGCCCTGGGGTCGCACTTCCCCACCCCCAACTTCTGCCCCAGGCACCTTCCTCAGAGCCAGCTTGGTGACCCGGCCAGACCCTTGTGGACCGGCACTCAGAAGCCTCCTCAGGTGAGAAATGTAAGGATAAAGGAGACCCCTAGTGTGGGAATCCCAGTGGGAATCGGGTCACTGATCTGCTCAGGGACAGGAGCAAAAGCCCGAAACGACGCGGGTCACACGTCCAGCCAGAGATGCCTCTTGAGGGGTCACTTTGAACCATGGCCCTTTGCACCTCACCAAAAAAGGTTTCCGCTGCCAGGGGCAGAGGACGCCACGGGCAACCACCCGCGTCCGTGCTGGGCGCAGAGGACGCCACGGGCAACCACCCGCGTCCGTGCTGGGCGCAGAGGACGCCACGGGCAACCACCCGTGTCCGTGCTGGGCGCCTTGAGAGAGAGAAGAACTTGTTCTTGACCTTCAATTTATTTAGTGAACTTTCTAACCGCAGAGACTAGGACACAAATTACGTCTCAAGGTAACAGTGCAAGTTAGAGTACGGTATTCAGAGAAAAGAGAAAGGCTGAATCCCAAATGTTTAACTATGCAAAACCCAGGGGTGTCTGGGGCCTCGGACCTCTGCAGACCCCAGCACGGCACAGAAAGGAAACCAGTATTTGCACCGTGGCAACCGCGAACCAGGTCTTTCAAACGCCCGACTGCATGTGAGCCTCACATTCTTGTCATGTTGGTGTTACTGCCCTGTTCTAGAGAGGTGAGGACAGGGGGTCAGGAGGTCCAGTTCTTGCCAGGGTTACACAGTGCCAAGTGAGGATGGGGAGGTCCCTCCAAAGCCCTTGGTGCTCACAAGCACTGTGCCTTACTCAAACATGGATGATGCTTTGGATTCAGGAAAAAGAGCTGGGTCAGGACATTTCTTGGTTGACCCCAAGGCAGGTGGGTCGGGGCCCAGAGACGAGCCCTCGGCATCCGGCGTCACCAGCCAGGCAGGTGTCGGGATTTCTCCTCAGAGGCCTTGGTGTTTTTGAGGAATAGGTGGCTTCCCTGCAGAGACAGCCGTAGTCAGAGCTGTCCTTCGTGGAAGGCTGGCAGGGACCAGGCATCATGGATTAAGTCACTTACCCCTCCCAACTGTATGAAGTCAGTACCAGCATCCCCGCTTTACCTCTGAGGAAACGAAGGGCTCTGACAAGCTGAGCTACGTGTCCAAGGCCAGGACAAGCTGGAACACAAACGGAGGTCTGGCTAACTCCAAAGCCCACACCCCTGTCACTCACTGTGATGCCCTAGTGTGGCAGGATCTGGCCCTGGACTATCTTCCACCTGGCTGGTGGAGGGGGGCCTTGGGGCGTCCTGCCTGGGCTAGAACCGGGCCTCAGTCTTCACTGTCCCTGCAGGGGCGGCCAGACCAGCTCCACTTCTTCCTGGCTCACACGTCACACGCACCCCTGGACGGTGCACACGGAACTTCCTCAAACCTGAGCTGCTAAGTGGGGGCTGAGCCACAACAGCCTCACCAGCACCGCCTGAGGGGGAGGTGGAGAGACGGACGGAGGTAGGAACATGCCTGTGTCCCCTAACTGAGGCCTCAGTCACCCTTCTCCACCCCTCCTTCGCCTGCCCCTTCCAGGGCTCCAGGAGGACCCAGACAGCCCCTTCACACAGCCACAAAGCCATCTCCTCCAGGAAGGCTCTGCTCACTCCTCAGGCCCCACTGCTTGGTCCCACTCATGTCATTTTTTTTTTTTTTTTTTTGAGGCAGTGTCTTGCTCTGTTGCCCAGGCTGGAGTGCAGTGGTGCAATCTTGGCTCACTGCAGCCTCCGCCTCCCCAGCTCAAGCAACTCTCCTGCCTCAGCCCCTTGAGTAGATGGGACTACACACACCCACCACCACGCCCGGCTAATTTTTGTATTTTTCGCAGAGACGAGGTTTCACCATGCTGGCCAGGCTGGTCTCAAACTCCTGACCTCAGCCTCCCACAGTGCTGGGTTTACAGGCATGAACCACTGCACCTGGCCCCACTCATGTCACTCTAGAGGTAGTGACTGAGGGCCTGGCTGCGTGCCCGACCCTGGGGTGGGGGTTAAGGCATCACAGAGACGAATCAAAAGTCAGTGCTTGACAAAGGGGCAGCCAAGAAAGCAGAGATGTCCATCAACAGGAGGCAGACAAGCATTTGTGCATTTGGCACGGGTCACTTGTGCACCTACTAGGCACCACGCCCAGATGGACAAAACCCGCACAAAATCCCATATTACGGCCTCAGAACAGGACAGACAAAATGCCACGAACATCGAGAGATACAATTTCCAGCTGGAGGCAACTGGGGAAGGCTTCCTGGAGGAGAGGGGTCAGCGTGGGGCCCTCGGGGCTGTAGGGAAAGGCCATCCACCCTCACTGGGTCCCAGCTTTACTCTACCTCCCTCCAGCAAACGTGCAATGGCTGTCATGTAACTGGCTGGTAGGATGCCATTATAACTGCTCTCCACGTTTGCGCCACAGTGCTCCTGGTGCCGTGACTTAACTTCAGAATCGGCCCCTCACTGGCCTATGGTCCCCTTCCCTCGGGCTGGGTCCCAGGCCACAGGGTGCAGACTGCGAGAATGCACGCCCCTCCCTGCCGCCGGGTGTGGGGGAGAAGGGGGCCGTGTGAATCCCGTTCCCAAGGCCCGGCACTCATCTGTCTTAGGTACCACAGGCTCAATACTTGTCTAGGTAAAGCAAGCTCGGACTGGATGAACGATGGCCAGCTGGTCTCCATGGTGACATAAGTGCCTTCGCAGATGGGTAGCCGAGTTGGGAGTCTTCCCCTGAGACGCTCATCTTTCCCTTCCTCCCTATGGACTGGGGGCTTCCTCTGGGGACAGCGCAGACTTGCCTTCTCTCCCCCAAGCCCGACTCATTGCTTCCTGGAGTCAATGGTCTTGGGTGGAAGAAGATCTGTGCAAGACAGATGTCCCCAGCAAAAGCAGAAGTCTGAATTCTAGTCGCTGCAGCCCACCACGGACCCCTCCTCATCTCTGCTGGGTTCAGCTCAGGCTATCCCAACCACCTGGGAAGGGGCCACTCTCCTTCCTCCCTCACTCCTTCCATCCCCTAAACCTGCTCCCCCCCACCCCTTCCACCCCCTACACCTGCTCCCCCACCCCTTCCATCCCCCACACCTGCTCCCCCACCCCTTCCATCCCCTACACCTGCTCCCCCCACCCCTTCCATCCCCCACACCTGTTCCCCCACCCCTTCCATCCCCCACACCTGCTCCCCCCACCCCTTCCATCCCCCACACCTGCTCCCCCCACCCTTTCTACCCCCACCTGCTCCCCCCACCCCTTCCATCCCCCACACCTGCTCCCCCCACCCCTTCCATCCCCCACACCTGCTCCCCCCACCCCTTCCATCCCCCACACCTGCCAGAGCCCTCCTCAGACGACCTGCAAGACTCCCCCGGCTGGATAAACAGAGCCTGGTGGTAAGGCCCCCACGAACAGATGTCACTGCCTTTGGAATTAAAAACATTCCTAGTGGACCATCCCATCCTCCCTCAGCCCCTCCCCAGGCTCTCTGCAAGGGGAGTGAGAGGGGCTGTCCCCGGGGAGACGTGGGTGGGACCCCGCATTACACCTAGGGAGGGGGTCATGCCACCCAGCACAGCTGTGACTGAGGTAAAATCGGGTTAAGGTGTTCAGTGGCGGCATCAACGAGGAAAAAAGGTCACATCCTGCCCTGTGCGAGCGGGAGGGGCAAAGGCTGCAGTGGGGCTGCCTCGGTGACAGCTGGGGGTGGGGACGGCTTCCAGGCAAATCCTCCAGCCTGTGAGCACCAGGAGGAAGGTTCTGCCTCAGAACCTAGAAATGCAGCTGCCGCTTTCCTGGAGTGACCTCCTTTTTCCCACCAGAACGACGCTCCTCTCCCCCAGCCCACACTTGAACCCCGATTCCTCGTCCTATCCGCTAGCGCAAATGACTCCAGGAGAGGGGGTTTCTGAGCAGCCAGCTAGACCAAGGCCACAGGCGCCCCAGTGGGGATAGCCTGGGAGCCAGTTGGGGCGGGGAGAGCCCCAAGAGGCCGCCCAGAGAGTCCAGAGCCCAGGAGGAGCCTGGCACCCAGCTGAGGATGGGGACCGAGGGGATGTGGCTCAGGTCTGCCAAGAACACTCCCTCTCTCAGCACCAGAGGATCAGGGCACCGGCTGGGCATCAGAGGACCAGAGCTGGGGGACAAGAAGGTGCTGGAGGAGAGCAGGGCGGACCCGAGGCTGGGGGGCAAGAAGGTGCTGGAGGAGAGCAGGGCGGACCCGAGGCTTTGGGGGCTGCAGAGAGCCTGCCAGTGGCTCCTGCCCAAAGACAGGTGCAGGCTCCAGGATGAGAGAGAGACAAGCAGGCCGAGCATGGGAGCCCGGGGTGCCCAGCGCCCACACAGGGCGTGCGAGTTGGGCGGGAGGATGGCACGTTCCGGGGACAGCTGTGGGGGAGTGGGGACGGGAGTGTCCCCCAACTCGGTGGCTCTGTGGTCACTGCATTCTTACTGTGTGTTCTGACCATTTCCTGTACCGACCCTAACCAAAACCTGCGGACTGGAAGGCCAAATGTCTTCCCAGAATGAGACACTGAGACTCACTCTAGGTTTTTCTCCCCACCCATCGGATACCTCTGGGTATTTGCAATGTTCAGAGCCTGCATTCAGCCTGGGGACAGGAGTCACCCAGCAGCCAATGGCAGATTAGACCCTAGGAGCTATGTTTGTTTCTTTCTTTCCTTCCTTCCATCCTTCCTTCCTTCCATCCTTCCTTCCTTCCATCCATCCACCCATCCATCCATCCATCCACCCATCCATCCACCCACCCACCCATCCTTCCATCCATCCATCCATCCATCCACCCACCCACCCATCCATCCAGGTGGGGCTGGGAGAGGGGTCCAGGGTGGGCTCAAGGTTGAAGATGGGCACAGTGTAAGGAAGAAGGCAGTCAGGATGAAATCAGTTGCTCTACGGCCCAGACCTAGGCCTGCCCAAGGTAACCTGCTGTCCTCCCAACTCCCCAAAGGCCTGTGCCGGCTCATAGGGCAGTCCCGAGTACGTGCTGCTTCTCACACAGCTCCAGCCTCCCTCTGCCTGACCTCCAGCCTCTCTCTGGCCACGTCAGGCTGGTGTCGCCAGGGTGCTCGGTGGTTCTAGGTACGGAGGAGAGGCTGAAACAGCCCAAGAGCTTGTCTGCTGCAGGAGAAGTGTCCCGACAGCCCGTCCCTGGCAAACCCTAGCGATTCTCACAGCACATTTGGTCATGGAAAAGGGTGAAAAATGCACTTGAGCCTTTGGGAACATCTTGCTTATCTAGAACAAAACTCACCCAGGGACAGAGTGGGCAGGGCGTGGCCCCTCAGTATGCTGTCCCTACCGCTGGAGCCCCCCTGGGCTGCTTGCCTGCTCCTCCTCCCGGGAAGGAGGGGGTGTGGCCGGGTCTCCCAGCACAGCCATAAATTGCAGCCTGAGGCAGGAGGGGCTGAGGCCTGAAGGTGGGATGGGGTCGCCGAGCCTCCCTGCTCTTTCTTCATTCTGGATTCCCGAACACCTCCCTTCCACCCAAGCTCCGAGCTCACGGTGGCCAGAAGCAAAGCCCTGGGAGCCAGGGACCTGTGGACTCAACGGCTGTGTTTTTCTCTGGGTTCAGTTTCCACAGCTGTCAAATCAGGAGCTCGGAACAGACACATGGTCTCCGGTGAGATTTCTTTTCTGCTGAGGATGCACCCCTGCCGTTTTTTCCAAATGAAATTTTATGCCGACGTCTCCCTGCCCACCTCGTCGGATAAAAGCAGAAGCAGAGAGAGCAGGCGCCCTGGCTGAAGAGGGGACGTGGGGCCCACTGGCTCACACCTGCTTTTCCACCACCCCTCGCCTGCCTTGGGGCTCACGTCCCTCCCCGGAATTCCCACGCCCCACAGGCAGAATCTGAGGCACACCTCAGCGCACCGCCCTCCTTTCAGGCATCTACAGCTCAAACCTTAGGTTCCCAGCAGCTCCTAGAGGCAGTTCTCCCGAAGGCCTCGCTCTCCCTCGGGGTGGGGGACGTGGGGGTCTGAGAGATTAGGGGCTTTGTAAGGACACCTCTGGGTCAGACGCTGAACCTGCAGCTCCAGTCGTGTCTCTGCTTCTCTCCCTCCTTTGGGAAACTCAGGGCTTTTGCTCAGTGGCTGTGGGTTCGCCCTGGCAGCCTCGAGAGGGGACAGCACCTGTCTAGTGGGTCAGGCGGGTGTGTCTGGGTCATCTTGCGTCTCCAGCCGCGCTAGGGTCTTTCCTGAAGCCAGGGCAGCTCAGCACTTGCCTCCGAGGGCGTGAACACGGTGTGCCCATCCCTCCCTGCCCCAGCCCAAAGCTACAGGCTACACTGGGGCTTAGACCCTCGCCCAGCACCACCAATGTCCACGCCCCCAGGCCACGGCAAGGGCGGGGCTGGCCACGAGGGGCTGCTGTGAGTCTGCGGTGGCCGCAGGCTTGAGGGAGGCCAGCAGAGCCCACCCTAAAGGTGACCCCCGCTCAGCATTCATCTGCAGCCTCAGCCCTAACTCAAGAAATTCTCTGGCAACCCTTCTGTGGCATCCTTCTCTTGAAGCTTTCAGAAAACACGGAAAGTGGGACAACCCTGGAGCTGATCCTTTGGATTCCTAGGAGGAAGCAGCAGCCTCCGCCAGCAGGGAGGTTAGCGGCTCACGGGGAGGAATCTCTGTCTGCGGCTTTCACCTCGGCGAGTTCGCTGAATGCCACGGACCCGAGAGGACACTCTCTGAAGGGTCACCCGAGGTTGGCCGGCTAAGATCAAACCCAGGTCCCGTGCCTCTGAGTCTGGGAGCCCGGCACCCAGAGCTGAGAACACCTTTTTTTGGTCTGTCGGGAGGCTGGATGTTCTCAGGGCCTGACTGCATCGGCTCCTGAGGTCCTGTCTGGACCGGCTTCTCTGCATGGTGCCCACCCTTCAGAGGCGGGTCAGGGGGAGCGGGCGCCAAGCCTGCCTGCTGAGGCGGCACTTCCCAGGGGTGGAGGGGAGCGGGGGGAGCCGACTCACACCTCCATCTGCTTCCTGCTGGATGCTTCCTGCCCAGAATCCACTGGGCAGAGTCCAGGCTCCCAAAATCAGGAACACCTGGGCGATGGAGGCAGCTGAGCAGGGCTGACGAGAGAGGTTCGTGCCCCACGTTTGGAAAAGCTTTCGACGGCAGGGCAGGCACTCTCGAGGGACCCTCCCCCGACTTCCCCCACCCAGGACAGGCTCTGCTGCCCACTCTCCAAGGAGAACCAGGCGTCTAGACCTGCCTTGAAGAGGGACAGCAGGTGGGAGTCTGGGCTGGAGAACAAATGTGCCCGAAACAGCTGGGGTGGGCAGGGCCAGAGCAGGACAATGGCTGCAGTCACGGGGCCCTGGGAGGAAGTGGAGAGTCAGCAGGAAGTAGAACCAGGCCTGGGGCTCAGCCTCCACGGTCCCTATGTGCCTGGGGAACTGGCACAGGGGTGGGGGTGGCGGCAGAGGGAAGAGCCCCACGTGGGCCAGCTGTGAGGGTGGCAAGCAGCAGGGAGGCGGAACTCCTAAGCCAGGAGCCGAGGCGGGGCCTGACATGCACTCCTGGCCTTGGCGGGCGCCGACGCGGGCTGATCTTCCAGGGAGAGGTCACTCCGGTGTCCCACGACAGGGAGCTATGGGGGCTGTGAGTGCCAGGGCAGGGGTTGGGGACGGGAGAGATGGAACCAAAGGGAAAGGCCTGTGTTCCTTCCCAGTTGAATCAAGGCCTCCCTCAGGGCCAGGGGCCCGGCTGTGGTCAGTGTGGCCCACGCGTGAGGCCTGGAACGGGGAAGCACTGAGGACCCACGTTACCGGCCGTCGATCATCTTCCTGGGAGGGGTCCCAGTACCACCATGAAGAACGAGAGGGGGCCGGAGCTGGAAGGGGCTCTGGGCTCACAACCCAGGGCCCCCAGGACGCACGCGCAGGACCCTCAGGCAGGGTCGAATGGGGACAAGACACCCCTTGGGGGTCAGAGGGAGGGAAGTGGGGCAGGGGAGCCCTTGACTCCTGCCCTGGCGGGCTCCGGCCCCACGTTCTCTGCAAGCTTCCTCGTGCTCTCCAGAGTAATTGAAACCAGAAGCTGCTCCCCAGCCGCTGACAAAGGCCCCTTGTTTCCGACCACACCAGGCCAAGCTCAGAGCTGCCGTGCTGGGTCATGGCAGGGAAACCTCGGGCCAGCCGGCATTGAGGGCCCCAGCCTTGACTTCCCCGCCCCTGCTATGAGGTTGGTTCAGCAAAGCCAGTCTGACCCCATCAGCTTAAGAAAATAATGCTGCCTCGGCCAGCCAAAGGCCCCGACCCAGGGGACCACTTATAGGTGACAGCCTTTAGGAGGGGGCTGCTGGACAAGTGACACCCAGAACCACTGGAAGGGGGTGGGGGACAGGGTGCCTGAACCCGCCAGCTTAGGGCAAACCACGTACTGACTCCATGCCAGGCCCCGGGTCCAGGGTTTCATGGACCCTCACATTCAGTCCTCTTACAGCCCATCTGACAGGTCAGGAAGCTGAGGCTCAGAGGCAAAGATACTCGCTCTGTTCTCCCAACTAACGATGGAGAAAGCTAGACTCAGCCCCGCAAGATCTGTCTGGCCTCAAAACCCCGGCAACACTGGCTAACGATCCAAGTTCTCGTTTTCCTTTTTTTGAGACAGAGTCTCGCTCTGTAGCCCAGGCTGGAGTGTAATGGCGCAATCTCGGCTCACCGCAACCTCCACCTCCTGGGTCCTGGTTCACACCATTCTCCTGCCTCAGCCTCCCGAGTAGCTGGGATTACAGGAGCGCACCATCACGCCCGGCTGATTTTTCTATTTTTAGTAGAGACGGCGTTTCACCATGTTGGCCAGGCTGGTCTCGAACTCCTGACCTCATGATCCGCCCGCCTCGGCCTCCTAAAGTGCTGGGATTACAGGCATGAACCACCGTGCCTGGCCTAAGTTCTCTTGTTTTCTTTACCAGACGGTGAGGTCCTGGTCATTCTTTGTACCCACAGCCCAGGGCCTGCCATTCAGAGGATGTATCGTAAACAGAAACAAGTGAGTGAACAGGTGAAAGCGTGGACGCACACGTCACAGCACCGACTGGCTCTTCCAGGTATGTGAGATCCTTTAAGCCAGTGCTGAAGGTGGGGTAGGAATAGTTACCCCCACTGAATCAATAAAGAAACTTGGCCGGGTGCGGTGGCTCACGCCTGTCATCCCAGCACTTTGGGAGGCTGAGGCGGGTGGATCACAAGGTCAGGAGTTCGAGACCAGCCTGGCCAACATGGCAAAACCCCGTCTCTACTAAAAATACGAAAATTAGCTGGGCATGGTGGCGGGCGCCTTTAATCCCAGCTAACCAGGAGACTGAGACAGGAGAATCACTTGAACCCGGGAGACGGAGGTTGCAGTGAGCCAAGACTGCGCCATTACACTCAGCCTGGGCGACAGAGAGAGACTCCATCTCAAATAAATATAAATAAGTAAATAAATAAAAGAAGAAACTGAGATGCCAAGAAGTCAAGGGACCAGAGGTTGTTCCCGCGGCCTCAGGGCGACTGCGTCTGCATTCGATGCACCTAAACCACTGACCAGGGGAGGAAAGAGCTGACCCAGGAAGAAGGGTGAAGGGGTCAAGGGGCAGGGACACTTGGCCGGGAGGGGGAGAGAAGGCCGAGGCAGGGGGCCCAACTGTGTGCTTCAACTACAGGAGACTAATAGTGACCAGTCATGCCCTAGGGTCACGGGTCCTGCTCATCTATTACAGCTGGGAGGCAGGTGGGGGACAGAGCTTGGGTCTGGAGAGAAGGAGGCTGTGCTGTCTCCATCCTCAGGGACAAGGTTCTTTTTCTCAACGAAAGGCAAGAGCGTTTTGGGTGGAAACAACCCAAATGTGCACGGATGGACGGACGGACAGACGGATAAACAGACATGGCACCTACATCCACGGACGGACGGATAAACAGACATGGCACCTACATCCATGAATGGATGGATAAACAGACGTGGCACCTACATCCGCGGACGGATGGATAAACAGACGTGGCAGCTACATCCACGAACGGATGAATAAACAGACGTGGCACCTACATCCACGAACGGATGGATAAACAGACGTGGCACCTACATCCACGGACGGATGGATAAATAGACATGGCAGCTACATCCACAGATGGACAGGCGGATAAACAGACGTGGCAGCTACATCCACGGGTGGGTGGACAAACAGATATGGCACCTACATCCACGGACGGATGGATAAACAGATGTGGCACCTACATCCATGGACGGATGGATGGGTAAACAGACATGGCACCTACGTCCACAGACGGATGGATGGACGAAGAGACGTGGCACCTACATCCACGGACAGACAGAAGGACAAACAGACGTGGCACCTACATCCACAGATGGATGGATAAATAGACGTGGCACCTACATCCACGGATGGATGGATGGATAAACAGACATGGCACCTACATTCACGGACGGATGGATGGATAAACAGATGTGGCACCTATATCCACAGACGGATAAACAGACGTGGCACCTACATCCACGGACGGACGGGCAGATAAAGAGACGTGGCATCTACATCCAGGGAAATTGTATCCAGCCTCAGAAAGGGAGGAAATTCAGACACACAACGGCATATGGGTGAAGCTCAAGGACATGAGGAGGACAAATGCTGTCTGATTCCACCTACGTAAGGTTCCCAGACTGGACAAATTCGTACAGACAGAAAGCAGGCAGGTGGTTACTGGAGGCTAAGGGTGCAGGAGTGGGGAGTTATGATTTAATGGGGATGGGGTTTCGGCTGGGGAGGGCCAACAAGTTCTGGATATGCACACTGGCAACGGCTGCACAGCACCAAATCCACCTATGGCCACGGAGCTGTGCACCCAAAAATTATTATTTTTTGAGATGGAGTCTCACTCTATTGCCCAGGCTGGAGTGCAGTGGCATGATCTTGGCTCACTGCAACCTCTGCCTCCCAGGTTCAAGCAATTCTCCAGCCTCAGTGTCCCGAATAGCTGGGACTACAGGCGTGCACCACCACGCCCGGCTAATTTTTTTTAATCTTTGTAGAGATGGGGTCTCACCATGTTGGCCAGGCTGGTCTTGAACTCCTGACCTCAGGTGATCCATCTACCTCGGCCTCCCAAAGTGCTGGGATTACAGGCGTGAGCCACCGCGCCCGGCCCCTAAAATTTATTAAAATGGTAACTTTATGTTATGTATATTTCACTACAATCTTTTATTTTTTATTTTTTTCAGTGGAGATAGACTCTTGCTCTGTCACCCAGGCTGGAGTACAGTAGCGCAATCCTTAACTCACTCTAGCCTCCTTAGCCTCCCAAGTAGTCCACAGCTACACCACGTGAGCTACTATGCCTGGCTTCTACCACTATTTTTTCTTTAAAAAGAATAAAGGCCGGACGCGGTGGCTCACACTCCCTTCCTGGCCTGGAACCTGCCCCTCCCACCACAGGGTCTTCAGCGCTGCTGTGCCCAGGGAGGGGCTGCCCTGGCAGGCACGTGGGGAAGTGGAGCTGCCTCCCAGGCACAGGGAGCAGAGGTGGACTGTGGGGTGGGGGCTGTCCCCAGCCTGCGGTGAGCGAGGGAATGACGCAGGGCCGGGGGGCGGGCAGGGGGTGCAGAGGGCCCCTCAGGTTTAAGTAGCTTCTTGGTCTCAGGCCCTTCTCCAGTCTGGGGACGCTGGCAGAAACTGAGCTGTGGGGCCCCAAGGGAAAGCGCTCTCCTCAGGCCCAGCCCGCCAAGAAGGGCCGGACCCTGGGAATATGCTAATCAGCTAGCGGGTAGGTTGCAGCTGGAGCGGCAAGGCTGGAAATAGAGTAGGATAAACACAGTGGAGTCCCCTGGGACCAGGAGCCAGGGCAGACTACGCCGGGGGCAGGGGCAAGAGCCGGTGGAGGGGGGGCTCCCAGCTAAGCGGACCTGGATGGGGTCCCTGAGTCTGGGGCCCTTGTTCACCCACTAACAAGCTCTGTGACCGCGGCTGCCTCGCTCACCCTTGCTGGTGTCCATTTCCTTCTCTCCGGAAAACAGGATTGGATTAAACGCCCTCTAAGATTTATTCCAGGCCGGGTGCCGTGGCTCAGGCCTGTAATCCCAGCACTTTGGGAGGCTGAGGTGGACAGATCACCTGAGCTCAGGAGTTTGAGACCAGCCTGGTCAACATGGTGAAACCCTGTCTCTACTACTACTAATAAAAATCAGCTGGGCATGGTGGTGGGCGCCTGTAATCCCAGCTACTCGGGAGGCTGGGACAGGAGAATGGCGTGAACCTGGGAGGCAGAGGTTGCAGTGAGCCGAGATTGCGCCATTGCACTCCAGCCTGGGCAGCACAGCAAGACCCCATCTCAAAAAAAAAAAAAATACCTCTTCCGGCCAAACCCCCAGGAATCCCCTCCTTTTATTCATTCCTTCTACTGGCCTTGCTTGCAGCTCCCCGCCACCCCTGCTGAGGCTCCTGACTTTCCTGGGACCCTCCCTTCACATTCGTGCCTCCCTGCCAGGCGGGTCTGTCCTCCAGAACTCCCACCCTACTCCCTTCTGCGGAAGCGGAGCCTGCGCACCTTGCTGGAATAACACAGAGCCTTAGCATAGCAATTGCGCTGGCCGCTCTATACCAAGATTTCTACAAAGAATATAAAGTACTTTTAACAAAGTATCCAAAAAGGTGCTTAAGAAGACTCCATACAGCTCTAGAGAAAAGGAGGTTTATAATAATCCATGAAAACAGAAAAACAGACAAAACAGGCCCTGATTAAATCTACATAAAAATGTGTATACCTCAAGAAGGGAAAAGGCACAGAATAAACTGGCTGCTTCGGAGGAGCCGGAGGAAGGATGGTTTCTGATTAGGTTTCAAGTCTCTTTTCTTCTACTGCAATTTTCTTTCTCATACAAACATTGCTTTTGGAATTAAAAAACCCAGGGCTTCCAAATCGCTCTCGTTCCACCTCCTCCTTGAAGCCTCCCTAATTCCAGCCCATGGTGACCTTTCTGCCTCTGAATTCCTGCGGGACAATCTTCCATCTTATTATAGCAGGACAATCTTCCATCTTCTTACAGCAGGACAATCTTCCGTCTTCTTACAGCAGGACAATCTTCCGTCTTCTTACAGCAGGACAATCTTCCGTCTTCTTATAGCAGGAGGCAGCAGGACATCTAGAAATGGGCTCTGCAGCCAGCTGCCCGCCCTGGCCCACTCCTGGGCACATGGCCTTGGCCGGGCTCCTTAGCCCCAGCTTCCTCATCTTTCTAGCTGTGATGATATTCCTCTCCCACAGGGTCCTGGGAAGATCTCCTGAGACAGCAGATGGAAGCATTTAGCACCGTGCTGGGCTCGTCCTGGGCTCGCTTATGTGTGTACGGCTATTGTGGCTGACATCTAGCATTCTTCTCACTGGAGAACATGGACCAATATACTCGTCTTTCCAATCTGACAGTGGGTCCCTGGAGGCCAGGACCCCCTCCTGGGCTGGGGACCTCACAGACGCATGCTAAGTACCCCTCCTGCTGTTTTCTTTTCTTTTTTTTCCCCAGACAGAATCTCATTCTGTCTTGTCCAGGCTGGAGTGCAATGGAGCAATCTCAGCTCACTACAACCTCCACCTCCCAGGTTCAAGTGATTCTCCTCCCTCAGCCTCCCAAGTAGCTGGGATTACAGGTGCCCACCATCACGCCTGGCTAATTTTTGTTTTTTTAGTAGACACAGGGTTTCACCACGTTGACCAGGCTGGTTTCGAACTCCTGACCTCAGGTGATCCCCCCGCCCTGGCCTCCCGAAGTGCTGGGATTACAGGCACGCACGACCACCCCTGGCTAATTTTTATATTTCTAGTAGAGACGGGGTTTCGCCATGTTGGCCAGGCGAGTCTCAAACTCCCGACCTCCTAATCCGCCCGCCTCGGCCTCCCAAAGTGCTGGGATTATGGGCGCGTGCCACCACGCCTGGCTAATTTTTGTATTTTTAGTAGGAAAGGGGTTTTGCCATGTTGGCCAGGCTGGTCTCGAACTCCTGACCTCGTGATCAGCCCACCTCGGCCTCCTGCTCTTTCCCGCACGTGCTCCTCTCCTTCCTCCCAGGGGCACCAGGCACAAGTGTCCCCTGCCCAGAGGACTCCAAGACAAAGGACGCTCACCTTATGCCATAAAGCAGCACCTCAGCTGCTTCTCCAGGCCATTAGCCATGCCACGGCCCTCTGTCCGGGCTGGGGGATTTGTTGACAAAGGCCTGAGACGTGGGGACATGGCACAGAGGAGGGAACATGGCCTTTCCCACATACCATACGCAGAGATGCCTTGGCCAAGGTACTTAACCTCAGTACCCCAGTGTCCTCATCTGTAAGATGGGGAGGAGGGACTGTCATTCTCCCTGGAGGATCACGACAAGGATCACACGAGGAGATGGCATTTGGGAAGCGGCCTCCAGGAGCACAAGTGCTGGACACACATTGGTGACGCATGCTGCCGTCTGTCTGTCACTAAATGCTTCCCCCACCCCACCCCGCCGCTGAGACTCCTGCCCCACTGCCCCATCAGGCGACCCAGAGTGGGGGCCTCATCACAGCAGCAAATGCCTGCGCTTAGGCCGTAGGGCCCCTTGCTTTCTCTGGATGGGCTGCTGGGAGGGGGCTTAGAGAGAAGTGGGGGCCTCAGAGACTGCCCTCCTCCTCCTACCTTTCCTACAGGCCCCCTGAATATCCCCGAGGGCTGGGCCCTATCTCAAAGCCACCTCCGACTATGTCCTCAGCGCCTGCCGGCGGGCAGAAAGACTGCATTCCAGAGGCTAGTGCCAGCTCCCTTCCTTAGATGTGTGGCCGGAGTGAAGGCAGAGACAAGCTGTGGGGACAGACCGTTCCGTGGCTCCGTGGGGCCCGGGTTCGTGGGAACAGCTCCGTGTGGACTCGTCACCCAGCCTGGCCATCCACGGTGGCTCTGAGGGCAGTCACGGGGTGAGACTTTCTAAGCCACAGCCCGCCCCTCGGGCATGCCTCCCCCGCCGAAGGCAGGCTGGTGAGATGGTTCTGCAGCGGAGGGCCAGGGCCGGGCCTTGGCACGCTGAGTGCTGGGGGACTTCAAAGGCCTCCAGGGGACTCTGGCTCTGAACTGTCCGCTCACAGGCCCAGGTCAGCTGGCAGCAGGAAGGTTTATGTTTCTTTTAATATCAACTCCCAGGCATTTAACATTCCTCGAAGCTTAAACACAGAAACATTTTCCTTACCAGACTCTGCCTTCTCCTTTGCCAAACATAACCTGGCTTCCTCCCTCCCCCACTGCCTCCATCTGCTCCTGTCTCCAAGAGGCTTGCAGTGACTGATGGTGTGTTTCCCCCGGGGCTTGTGCAGCTGAGTGAGAAGGAGGGAAGCAATGGGGCTGAAGTCCAGGTGGGGGAATGTGCCCTCGGGCCTTGGGAGCTGAGTTCTCGAGGGGCTGGGGCCCACCGTGCCCACGGGGCTGGCTGCCCGGCACATCCTTGTAACTCTTCTATTCCACAGCCACCAGTGGCCCAGGGAGTGTGGCGTGGCGACCACTCGTCTCTTGCCTGGGCGTCTCCTGGGGCTGCACAGGCCAGCCCAGAACCCTTCCGTGCCTGTCCCTCTAGCCCAGCCCAGGGACAGGGAGATGGGGCTCCCTCCCCTTATCCCCACAGAGAGCAGGTCCCAGGGACTGAATCTCTAGAGCCCATTTCCTAAATCACAAAGGACTGGCTGGCAGTTGCCTGGCAGCCCTGTCTCCCTAGTGACGAGTACTGAGAAGCAGGGTGCAGGCCCCACAGCATCGGAAAGAGACGTGTTTAGGAACACGGGGCGTATGCGGCAGAGGCCAGGCCCCTCCACGTGGGGCCCCTGGTTCAAACACTGGAGCCTGAGATGGGGCAGCGAGTGGGAGACCCACACAGCTCCCCAGGGGCAATGCAGGTAAGACCTGCAGGTAAGAGCCAGATACCAAACTCGGTGGCCATGACAATGCATCAGAGAACAAATACTTCCTGCTAAAAAGCATCGTTCAGCTCCCTGTTGTAGACGGAGCCATCGCAGCCTGCGCCTGGATCACCTCTTGGGCCACGGTCAAGAAGCTCGGCGCCCAGCTGCGCCTGGATCACCTCCGGGGCCACGGTCAAGAAGCTCGGCGCCCAGCTGCGCCTGGATCACGTCCGGGGCCACGGTCAAGAAGCTCGGCGCCCAGCTGCGCCTGGATCACCTCCGGGGCCACGGTCAAGAAGCTCGGCGCCCAGCTGCGCCTGGATCACGTCCGGGGCCACGGTCAAGAAGCTCGGCGCCCAGCTGCGCCTGGATCACGTCCGGGGCCACGGTCAAGAAGCTCGGCGCCCAGCTGTGCCTGGATCACGTCTGCGGCCACTGTCAAGAAGCTCAGCACGCCCAACGCCCGAGGCTCAACCTCAGTACGGGTCAGTTACCGTCTCCCTTCATTTCATGGTCACAGAATCTACCCCCAAACCAGACCACTTGCGGCACAGCACGAGGCCACACGAGGTACCAGACGGGAGTGTGAGCGGCTCCACCACGTCACGCCTTTTCCCGCTCCCAAGCCTACTTCTCTTAATAGGTTGGTGAATAGCAGCCATCTTCAAAATTGGCAGAATGTTTCAGAGACACAGGCTGCACACACAGAGGCCTTTTTCCTATATATGTTTATAGGGAGCCAAAAGCACAGTTGAGGCATAAATGCTGTTTTTATTTATTTTTATTTTTTTGGAGACACGGTCTGACTCCATCACCCAGGCGCGATCTCAGCTCACTGCAACCTCCACCTCCTGGGTTCAAGCGATTCTCCTGCCTCAGCCTACTGAGTAGCTGGGATTACAGGCGCCCGCCACCACGACCTGCTAATTTTTGTATTTTTAGTAGAGATGGGGTTTCGCCATGTTGGCCAGGCTGGTCTCGAACTCCTGACCTCGTGATCCACCCACCTCGGCCTCCCAAGGTGCTGGGATTACAGGCGTGAGCCACCGCGCCCAGAAGCATAAATACCCTTAACCCGAGGTGCAGCCTCTACTAACACCCAGAGTCCCCACCCGAAGCCACAGACTCCCAACGCAGCTGAGTAAGGTCCGGCCACCCTAACAACAAGTCAGAGACCCCCCTCCCCCCAAGCCAACCAGCAGGACCCTAAGTCTTTCGGGCAGAAGAGCAAACGCCTGGTCCGTGTGCCTAACTCCGGTCCCCCGTCAATGGCAGACACGGCTCCTCACACACAGCATTCCTCCCTCCCGTTCACCGACGCAGCCTCTGAGTCCTTCTCAACATGGCGTTCCGGGAAACAACCACCCATAGACTAAAGCTGGCGTGTGAAAACAAAGCTGGTTGTTTCCATCTTGCAGAAGCGCAGATGACCCACCTGAGGAGCCACGCACACGCCTGGGCTTCCGGGGCCACAACAGGCAGCCACCTCTAGCAGGGAGGGGAGAACCACCTCCTGGGAACTTTCCTCCAACCAGCTTGGAACCAAAATCACGAAAGAGCAGGCTCCTTGACCAGAATTCCTTTTCAACTGGAACCACCTCCTGGAGGCTCCCTCAGCCTCGCCCCGGCGCCCTGGCCTCACCTGGATCTGTCCTTTGCCCATGATCTTGTCCACGATCTCATTGTTGTCCTTGTTGACCTTGGTCTTGTCATAGCACTTCTCATAGCACAGGATCCTCAGGGACTGGGAGCCCTCCAGCTCGATCTCAAACTCCTGGGGAAAGATGGGACAAAGGGCCCTGAACCTCTGAAGCTGGGAGGCCTGGCTTTCCGGCAGGTGCGTGCCTCAGCTTTGCAAGGAGGAGGGAGTAAGCACGGCCCACGAAGGACACGTCAGATTTTCTGGAGCTCCCAGAGGCCTCCCATCACCCCTGGAGTCTGGGGGCCTGAGCTGACACCACAGGGTCTGACACCCAGACACACACCGCGATCAGAAGCCAGAGGAGCAGGGAGCAGAAAGGGGGGTGCAGACATAGCTGGTCCAACCAATGGGCTGGCCGTCCCCAGCAGACAAGCCACGAGCACGGGGTGGTGGGGTCCCCACAGAGATGCCAGCCCCTGCCACTCACCTCATCCCACTTGGGCTCCGCTGTGTCCCGGAACACCCTGGTTTTGGCTTTGCTGACAAAATAGCCGAAGGAATCCACCTCCAGGGTACAGTACAGGTCTGTGGGGGAAGGACAGACGGAGATACTGAGTGAGTGGGGCCAGGGTGGGGCAGCTGGGGCGGCACTCAGGATGGAGGGGGACATCGCATCTGTCCTTTCCAACGTCCCCACGGATGGCATCTTGGCTCTCTCCTCCCTGAAGCCCGGGACCATCTGGCTTCTCCCCTGCCCCCTTCTTAGGGGCTCAGCCCTCCCCACCTCGGCTCACCCCACACTCTGCCCTTCCTACCTCAGCCCTCCCCACACTCTGCCCTTCCCACCTCGGCCCTCCCCACACTCTGCCCTTCCCACCTCGGCCCTCCCCACACTCTGGCCTCCTCCTCCCTCTAAAGGGCCCTTGACTGTTCCGTCTCCACATCTTCCTCACCATGGAGACGACACCACAAACTCTTCACTGACCGCCCTGGAGCCACCTCTCCCCGTAACATGGGTGCCCAGGCCTCAACAGCGGCATTTGGGGTGGGAGGCGTTTAGCAGCCCTGCCTCTGGGTCCTGAATGCTCGGAGCATCCCCTGCCGCGGTGACGACCAACAACGCCCACATCCCCAAGCCCAGGGTGCTGTGGTTTCCTCCGCTGCACTTAACATAAACCAAAGGGATCTTCTCTACTCGTGCGTCCCTAGTCTCTCTCCCCCCACGACGTAAACACCATGTGGAGAGAAGCCTGGGTTTTCCTGCCTGCCGGTGTACCCGCAGTACCAAGAACAGGGCTGGGAACCCAGCTGGCACACGGTGAACGAGGCTCCCACCACCACCAAGCGCTCCAGGTAACAAGGCAGTGGAGGGCTGGGGCGGGAGGGCAGGGCCGGGGGCTTTCCCCGGCATTTCCATCTTCCACCCTGGCCTTCAGGCTGAAAATCTACCTTGGGACCCAACTGCTGAGGCCACAGCACCGGCACGGACCCCAGGCCCTCTGCAAACCCACACCCGCCCTGGGCTCGGACCCCAGCAGTCCTCCCACCTCCAGGGAGATGCCGAGGTTGTTCCCAGGGTACCAGAGGTGGTGTGGGAGGTGCCTTTGGGACACTATGGCCAACCCTCTGCAGCGTGAAACAACGTCAGAGGTCACAGTGCGGGCATACAGTGCAGGTGGCTTACTCCACTTAGCCCCTGCAGCTGCCCAGCTGGGCCATTCTCCATCAGAACAGCTTTCCTGGCCGGGCAAGGTGGCTCACGCCTGTAAATCCCAGCACTTTGGGAGGCCAAGGTGGGCAGATCACCTGAGGTCAGGAGTTTGAGACCAGCCTGACCAACATGGTGAAACCCCATCTCTACTAAAAATACAAAAGTGAGCCCGGCGTGGTGGCACATGCCTGTAGTCCCAGCTACTCGGGAGGCTGAGGCAGGACAATCGCTTGAACCTGGGGTGTGGAAGTTGCAGTGAGCTGAGATGGCACCACTGCACTCCAGCCTGGGCGACCAAGTGACTCTTTCTCAAAAAAAAAAAAAACAAAAAAACCAGCTTTCCTGCAGAAAGGACAGTGCAGCTACCCCAAGAAGCCTCCAGCTGGAGCAACAGAAAGAAGACCCAGGTGGGCCTCAGAACACACAGAACGGGGCTGGGGATTTGCAGGTGAACAACACAGAGGCCCTGGGCACCCCAGCCTGGGCCAGACCAGGGAGTGGGCCTGTGTGTCTGAGACGGGCCATGAAGTGCTGTCATCATGGATTGATCTCGGTGTGAGCCCCTCCTCGAGGGGCTGGGGAGGGCTCACAGGGTCAGAGGGAGGGTTCCGGAAGGGGCTGGGGGAGGGCTCACAGGGTCAGAGGGAGGGTTCCGGAAGGGGCTGGGGGAGGGTTCACAGGGTCAGAGGGAGGGTTCCGGAAGGGGCTGGGGGAGGGTTCACAGGGTCAGAGGGAGGGTTCCGGAAGGGGCTGGGGGAGGGCTCACAGGGTCAGAGGGAGGGTTCCGGAAGGGTCTGGGGGAGGGCTCACAGGGTCAGAGGGAGGGTTCCGGAAGGGTCTGGGGGAGGGTTCACAGGGTCAGAGGGAGGGTTCCGGAAGGGGCTGGGGGAGGGTTCACAGGGTCAGAGGGAGGGTTCCGGAAGGGGCTGGGGGAGGGCTCACAGGGTCAGAGGGAGGGTTCCGGAAGGGTCTGGGGGAGGGCTCACAGGGTCAGAGGGAGGGTTCCGGAAGGGTCTGGGGGAGGGTTCACAGGGTCAGAGGGAGGGTTCGAGAAGGGGCTGGGGGAGGGCTCACAGGGTCAGAGCGAGGGTTCCGGAAGGAGCTGGGGACGGCTCACAGGGTCAGAGCGAGGGTTCCGGAGTCAGACCATCTGGGTCCACACCCCAGCTCTGCACAGATCACCTCCCTTCTCTCCCCAGGTTCCTGTCTGCACAGCAGGAAAAGTCATGGTGCCTACACCCTGGGCCTGCCTGTCCAGAGGTCCTGAGTTTACCACGGCTGAAGACACAGGGCCTCACCTCTGAGTGAGAACAGACATATGAGTGGGTCAGGGGTGGCGGTGGCGAAGGGAGTGAGGATAATCTGGGGGTAAAGAGAGATTTTGGAGCAGCTCAGCCGGCTCTGACACCCGCCCAGGCTGGGAGGCCACGGGTCGGCTCCCTGAGGCGAGGACCTCCCGGCCAACGGGAAGCAGGAGAGGGAGGGGCGGCATCTGGGGACATGGAGTGGTGGCGCCTGGTCCAGACATGGGTGGGACAGTGCTTCAGAGCTCACTAGCCAGAAGCTCCTCAGCGGCAGCCCCCAAGAAGGGAGGTCTACGGGTCTGGAGAGGGTTCAGGAAGCTTCCACGGTAACAAGCAGCCTGAGGGACCGTGTGGTGTTCCCGGCCAGACATCGAGAAGTGCCCAAAAGGTTAGAGCTCCGGCTCTGGTGCCGGAAGACGTGGATTCTGCTGCACCACCTGCTACTGTGTGACTCCAGGAAGGAACCTTGAGCCCCTCCGAGCCTCGGCGTCCTCGTGTGTAAAACAGGGATGGTTTCCGTGACCTCGGCGGGATGCCGGAGGCTCAGAGCGGACCGTGAGACTGAGAGGCTCTGAACACGCCACAGGCTTTGCACATGTGAGTACGTCCACACGCCAGCCATGTTCTCACCTTCTCCAGGTGCACGGTAGGTGCTGTGTAAATTAACGACTTCATTCCACATTTCTGAGCTCCCATGCATCCCAGGGTAAAGGAGACCTGGTTCCCGCCCTCAGAGAACTCACAGTGGGAGACGCAAATTGTTAAGTGACAAAACAGCATGACAGGTGCCATAACCAGCTTGCCCTGAGCAGGATGGGGGCACAAGGAACCTCAGGGGATGGGGGCACAAGGAACCTCAAAGGGATGGGGATACAAGGAACCTCAGGGGACGGGGGCACAAAGAACCTGAGGGGATGGGGGCACAAGGAACCTGAGGGGATGGGGGCACAAGGAACCTGAGGGGATGGGGTCACAAGGAACCTGAGGGGATGGGGGCACAAGGAACCTCAGGGGATGTGGGCACAAAGAAGGGACAAAGAAGGGAGGCCAGTTTGCCCCCAGGAACTCAGGGAGGCTTCCTGGGAAAGGCTGCTCTAACGGCCCGGGGAGTCACCTCTGTGTGGGGCGCTGCAGGGAGGGGTGAGGGCAGACCCCACCTGCCAGTGAAGAGCAGGGAGTGGGAGGGGCAGGTGGAGAGGGAGAGAGTCAGGGTTTCTGATCCTCTGTGATGTTAAGTCTTTTCTCCTCTCTGTGACTCGGTTACCTCCTCTGGCAAATGGGTAGAAACTATTAGCTGTCTAACTGACTCACAGATTCCCGTGTGGATAACAGGTAGATAAAAAGCGCAACCAGGCCGGGCGCAGCAGCTCACGCCTGTAATCTCAGCACTTTGGGAGGCTGAGGTGGGAGGATGGCTTGAGCCCAGGAGTTCAAGACCAGCCTGGCCAACATGGGGAGAACCTGTCTCTAAAAAAAAATTTTTTAAAAATTAAAAAGTGCAATCCTACTTTGTGAGACACTAAAAACAGATTTAGTATGAGGAACCCACAAGGGGGAAGGGGAGAAAAAGCGATGAGCGTGGCAGCACACCAGCGTTGCACACACACGATCATATCCCAGCCTGCTCTCGGGTCAAAATTCACAAGCGTGACTGCCTTTTAGTGGAGGCCCAGAGAGGTTAAGAAACTTGCCCAAGGTCACACAGCTTGTCATGGGCAGATATGAAGTTGGAGTCCACGTGTTTGTCGCCCTCAGATATGAAGTTGGAGTCCATGTGTTTGTCGCACTCGGTTTCTTTTTTTTTTTTTTGAGACGGATTCTCGCTCTGTCGCCCAGGGTGGAGTGCAATGCCATGATCTCAGCTCACAGCAACCTCCGCCTCCCGGGTTCAAGGGATTCTCTGGCCTCAGCCTCCCAAGTAGCTGGGACTACAGGCGTCCACCGCCATGCCCACGCTAATTTTAGTATTTTTAGTAGAGACGGGGTTTCACCATGTTGGCCCGGATGGTCTCGAACTCCTGACCTCGTGATCCGCCCGCCTGGGCCTCCCAAAGTGCTGGGATTACAGGCGTGAGCCACCGCGCCCGGCCCCTAGGTTTCAGACAGCTTCAGGGAGGGCTTGAGAAAGAGGACTTTGGAGACAAAGGCCAGGGGTGACCTCCCTGCCAAGAGGAGCTGGTTTCTGGCCTCCAGGGGAATGCCCCATGTCTAAAGGCGTGCTGGCAGGGCCCCATCCTGGGCAGAGCAGTGCAGAATCCACAATGGCCCACCCAACCTCGTCCTGGCCAGGGCACTTACTGGCTGATTGCTTAAATCCCTTGGCAGAGTGGACGATGACATGAAGGAAGCCATAGAGTCCTGGAGACTCATCGTCTGCAAGAGAGAAAAGCCCCCAGGGCAGAGGGTGGTCAGCGGATCCCCTCAGCCTCCACCCCAGGCCGGCGGGAGGCAGACGGGGTATGAGACTCAGCTGAGTCTTGGTCCAACATCACCACCTGGTGGCCAGATGAAAAAGTTTCCGAAGGCCACGGCGGCCTTGTATGTGAGCTGCCCGGGGTAGGGCTAGGGGGTCCTTCTCTCCTCCACTCAGCCTGGGGGGGTCCAGCACACCCACCATCCTGGCCCAGGGACTTAGTACCATTCCCCATGGGTACTGTCTCTCCCTCCAAATCCTGCCTATCCTGGCACTGAAAACTGACCAATATGATAAATCATTCTGCTAATGATTTATGTCGAGGAAAGCTTGCCTTCAGGACCCCGTTCACAAAGTGGACCCTTTCCCAGCACACAGGCAGCTAGAATACACCCACTCCGGTCAGTTCCCAGCCCTGATCACAGCTCCCCACTGCTCAAAACCCCCCCAGACTCCCGGGCTTACAGCATGAATTCCAAACTCCCTTGCTTGGGATTCAAGGCCTTTCAAGAGCTGGTCCCTGGAAACTTCCAGCCTCATTTCCCATACACCATTTTATCTACCGGGTCTGCTCTCTCATGAATATATTAACAGCACAATCTCAGTGCACCAGGGTGCCAGTTCTCCCAAGCCAGACAGAGGGGCCCAAGGAAAAGCTGGGGTCATCTGGGAACTCAGTAGACAGTCACCCCTACCCAAGCTGTGTCCTGGCCACTCAACAGTCTCAGCACAGCCGAGCAGGGATCAGCCATTTACAGCCACATGTCTGTCTGAGTCCTTACGGGAAGCCGGCCACGCTCTGAGGGCTGGGACCTGCCGGTTGGGCCACCTGTGGTTCCCGAGCTTACCGTCTTTATTGCTGGTGACAGGAATGTTGTGTACAGTCCTAAGCTTGAAACAGGATCCTGTGAGCACCTGGAGCTCCACTGAGCTCAGGACAAAGGCCTGGAGATCTGGAGGGAGAGCCGAGAGAGAAGGGAGCGTGGGCACTGGTCCACCAGGACCGGCTGCTCTTCCCTGGGGGCTGCTGCAGGAAGACGGCTTAATCCCTGGGGCAGACTTGGTCCTTGCGAGGGAGGGGGAAGGATTTGTGGACACAGCAGGACTGGTGTAGATGCTGTGAGAGGGGTCAGAGTAGGAGAATCTAACTGAAGAGGTGTGTGTGTGTGTGTGTGTGTGTGTGTGTGTGTGTGTGTGTGGTGTATGCGTTTTGTTTTCGTTTTTTTTTTAAACGGAGTCTCACTCTGTCGCCCAGGCTGGAGTGCAGTGCTGTGATCTCAGCTCACTGCAACCTCCGCCTCTCAGGTTCAAGGGATTCTCCTGCTTCAGCCTCCTGAGTAGCTGGGATTACAGGTGCCCACCACCACACCTGGCTAATTTTTGTGTTTTTAGTAGAGACGGGGTTTCACCACGTTGCCCAGGCTGATCTCAAACTCCTGACTGGGATTACAGGCGTAAGCCACCGTACCCAGCCTCTGTGTATGTGTGTGTGTGTGTCTCTGTGTGTGTGTGTGTGAGAGAGAGAGAGAGGTAGAGAGAGAGAGAAAGCCCAGGCTGGGCTCTGGGTCCAGTCCCAGGACTAAATCATCATGTCTTTCAGCCAATCAGTTAGATTCTTTGGGTCTCAATTAATCCGTAACATCCTTAAACGCTCACCCTGGCACCTCTGAGGGTGACTGCGAGGGCCAAAGACGTGATACTGGACATGAAACGCTTAGAAAAACAAAAGGCCCATCAATGCCACGGACATCATTGGGGAGCGTGGAAGAGGCAGGAATTTACCCTTCTTCTGTAGTTTCTGAATTGCTTCTCTCCACTCTGACCTCTCGTAGTCCGAGGACAGTAGGAACAGGTAACTCTGAAGAGAGGAGATAAGAATAAAGTGGGTGACCACAGTCAGGCAAAGCGTACTCCCAGATCCTGGGGACCCCAACAAAGCTCCTTTTATCTTTTTTTTTTTTTTTTTTTTTTGAGACAGAGTCTCGCTCTTGTTGCCCAGGCTGGAGTGCAATGGCAAAATCTCGGCTCACTGCAACCTCCACCTCCCGGGTTCACGCCAATCTCCTGCCTCAGCCTCCTGAGTAGCTGGGATTACAGGTGCCCACCACCACGCCCGGCTAATTTTTGTGTTTTTAGTAGAGACAGAGTTTTGCCATGTTGGCCAGGCTGGTCTCAAACTCTTGACCTCAGGTGATTCGCCTGCCTCAGCCTCCCAAAGTGCTGGGATGACAGGCATGAGCCACTGTGCCCGGCCCAAAGCTCCTCCTTATCCAGGCACAGCTGACCTTGCAGGAGGAGGCAGCTGGGGGTGGGTGGGTGAAGGGGGAGCTCCTTCCTGGGAAGCCAAGGTGACAGGAGCGGCTGTGCCAGGGACGGCCAGCAGAGGGCACTCATTCCACACGAGAGGGGAGAGCGAGTCAACAGCTGGAGCCATGGCAGCCTCCTCAGGAAGAGGGGGCCTGAGTTTCCGGTTCATACAGGTCAGGGCCAGGAGCCACAGAGTGGGCTGCTCTGGACTAAGGAAGGGGCTGTCTTGGTCCCACCCCCACCCATCCTGACCTTTCCATTCCGATTGTGGATCCTGAACGGGATTGTGGGGGAGTTGAGCAGCAGCAGGAACTCATTCTCAAACATCTTCTTCTTCAGGCGCTCGATGGCCCGGCTCTGGCCTTTGTTGGCTTTCTGCAGGAGATGGGGACACAGAGGGTTCCCCTCACACTCGGGCCTTTCTCACGAGCAGCACTAAGCACGACACTCCACTGTGTGTTAACATGCTCTTTACATTTTCCGTATTTCGTGATGTTTTGACATCTTGTGGCAGGAGAGGCGGGTAGCTGGGTGAGAAACTGCTCCCCCACAGGGCTCACTAATTCCTAAGCCTGTCAGTGATGCCCTATGAGCACAGCTTTCATACACACACCCACTGATCCAGAGCCCATGTCCCCAACCACCTTCTCTACCCGACGCTCACTCGCCAAGCCAGCATCTCCTCTGCCCCACGTCACCCAGGGCCAGGGACCAGGTCACCAGAGACCACTCCTCTAGCCCAGGGCTGCCGACATAACGGAAGCCAGCTGGTGCCAAGCCCTTTCCCTGCCCTGTTTCTCCACAGAAAAGCTGTGGCCACACTTTCTTTCCATTCCTGCCTCCTGTTCAAAGCTGGCACCTCTCCACGTGGCCCTGGGCGGGGTGCTATGCCTCCTTCTCTTGAGAACCCTAAATAATACAAATATTACAGTAGTATTAACCTCTCTGTACTGTCACTCTGCTGCCTCTACACATTAAATCCTGGGTACAACAGAGACACCTGCTTAAAGAAACCTCAGACACCTTTCAGCCTGAAGCCCCACCTGCTAGCCTGGCACCAAGGCCCCCATGGCAGGGTTCCAGCCTCCCTGCCCGGCAGACAACCCACCAGGTCCCGTCGGCTCAGCCTCCCCCTCTCACCAGACATTCATCCTCTGCGGGCAGAGCCTGCTCCCTCAATGTTCCAAGTTTCTGTCTGTTTCGTAAAGGACCCCCTCCCTTTTATTAACCACCATTATGCTTCAAGTCTCAGCTCCCAAGGCCATCCTCAAGCTCCTCAGTTAGAATTCACCTCTATGGTGTTTTGTTCTTTTTAACCCACTGGACTGGCAAAATTGTAAAGAATGTTCACAGCCAGTGTTGTGACACTGTGGGGGACAGTCACCCTCACACACCGCAGGGGGAATGCCACCAGTCACAGCTTTTTCAGAGGTAAAAGCCTGTCAATTAAGCGCACACTCACCCTGCCCTGCCCATCCCACTTGGAGGGAACCTACTGCAGAGGCACCTGCGCAGTGATGTTTACTGTTGACTTGCCTGCTAAGAGCGAAGAATCAGAGACAATCCAAACACCCAAAAACATTTGTATGCAGCCAAGCGACAGAGCAGGAGGCAGTTGTTAAAAAGAATCTGATACTGCCAGGCGCGGTGGCTCACGCCTGTAATCCCAGCACTTTGGGAGGCCGAGGTGGGCGGATCGTTTGAGGTCAGGAGTTCGAGACCACCCTGGCCAACGTGGTGAAACCCCGTCTCTACTAAAAATGCAAAAACTACCGGGCGTGGTGGCGGGCACCTGTAATCCCAGCTACTCGGGAGGCTGAGGCACGAGAATCGCTTGAACCCGGGAGGTGGAAGTTCCAGTGAGCCCAAATCTCACCAGTGCACTCCAGCCTGGGTGACAGAGCGAGACTCTACCTCAAAAAGAAAGAAAAAGAATCTGATACATCCAAAGGGCTCAAAGACCCACTGTGGAGTAAAATGCTGAAGTTGCAAAACAGCACGTGTAGTCTAGTCTCATTGGACACGCGGGCGCACACCAGCATAAGCAAAGAAGAGTTCAGAAGAATACACCTCAAACTGTCAGCAGCGGGAGGTGAGTGGCGACCAGCTTTACCCTGTACATGCTGGTACTACGAGCATTTCTCATTAAAACCAGCCAGTATTATATTGGGGATTAGAAAAAACATGAAAATTTAAAAAATTATTATCAAGAGAACAAGGCTGAGCACGGTGGCTCACACCTGTCATCCCAGCACTTTGGGAGGCCGGGGCGGGTGGATCATGAGGTCAGGAGTTTGAGACCAGCCTGGCTAACACGGTGAAACCCCGTCTCTACTAAAAATACAAAAAATTAGCCAGGCGTGGTGGCGGACGCCTTTATTCCCAGCTACTCAGGAGGCTGAGGTAGAAGAATTGCTTGAACCCGGGAGGTGGAGGTTGCAGTGAGCCGAGATTGTGCCACTGCACTCCAGCCTGGGCGACAGTGACAAAGTGAGACTCCATCTCAAAAAAAAACAAAAAACAAAAAACAAATCACTGCTTCTTCTGTGACTCAGAGGACGGCACCTGTGCCTCTCCAGTGACTCACATGTACCACACTCTGTGGTCAGCAAGGGGCGTGTCTGCTTCCTCCACTGGACAGGGATATACATGAGGCACCCGGCACACCCCAGGCAGCACAGCCAGTGGGGCTCACTGAGTGTTGACTGTTGACTCGACTGGGCACAAGGCCACGTCTGCACAGCTGGGGCAACGGGGAGGCAGCAAGCCTCCCAGGGGCGGGTGGGAAACAGGCACGCAGGATGCTCCTGGGCGGGCACTGTGGGCAGGGCCCAGCCGTTCAGGAGGGGGACAGCTGTGCTGGCGAGGAAGCCCTCTGGGCAGATGTATCACCAGTTGGACCCTCTGTCCTAGGACATCCCCCAGCCCTGAACACTCCTGGGGCTGTAATGGTGATCTTGCTTTCCCCTGTTCAAAGGGAGATGCTTGAGTTGAAAGAATCCTCAGAGAGGCCATCTGGTTATGTTTTCTTCAATAATTGTTTGTTTACTAAGTGCCTTTTTTTTTTTAGATGGAGTCCCACTCACTCTGTTGCCCAGGCTGGAGTGCAGTGGCGTGATCTCGGCTCACTGCAACCTCCACCTCCCGGGTTCACACAATTCTTTTGCCTCAGCCTCCCACGTGGCTGGGATTACAGGCACCCACCACCACACCCGGCTAACTTTTGTATTTTTCATAGAGACGGGGCTTCATGATGTTGGCCAGGCTGGTCTTGAACTCCTGGCCTCAAGTGACCCACCCGTCTCAGCCTCCCAAAGTACTGGGATTACCGGTGTAAACCACCACGCTGGGCCCTAACCACCTGTTTTCTACGTGTCGAATATGAGGAACATGGAACAGAAGAAAATAGCGCTGTCCCTGGAGTTCAAATTCCAGTGGGGAAGAGAGGAGTCTGACAATGCAATTACAATTCAGTACCATTTAAGCAAAGCCACAGGTGAACAAAAAGCCACAGGATCTGGGGACAGGGCACCCAACCAAGACTGTGGTGGGCGTGGGTGTCAGAGAAGCTTCCCAGGGGAGGTGAGGCCTAAGCTGAACCTGAGAGGTGAGGAAAACAGACCAAGCTGACCAAACCGCTCCAGGCCCTTCCTCCACTCACAGGGATGCTCCTCCCGTGGTGCCTTCCTCTAGACACTTGTTACGTGAACTGAGGGCTATGCATGTTCCTCTAGACACTGTTGTTACGTGAACTGAGGGCTATACATGTTCCTCTAGACACTGCTGTTATGTGAACTGAGGGCTATGCGTGTTCCTCTAGACACTGCTGTTACGTGAACTGAGGGCTATGCATGTTCCTCTAGACGCTGTTGTTATGTGAACTGAGGGCTATGCATGTTCCTCTAGACACTGTTGTTATGTGAACTGAGGGCTATGCATGTTCCTCTAGACACTGTTGTTATGTGAACTGAGGGCTATGCATGTTGCTCTAGACACTGTTGTTACGTGAACTGAGGGCTATGCATGTTCCTCTAGACGCTGCTGTTATGTGAACTGAGGGCTATGCATGTTCCTCTAGACACTGTTGTTATGTGAACTGAGGGCTATGCATGTTCCTCCAGACACTGTTGTTATGTGAACTGAGGGCTATGCATGTTCCTCTAGACACTGCTGTTATGTGAACTGAGGGCTATGCATGTTCCTCTAGACACTGTTGTTACGTGAACTGAGGGCTATGCATGTTCCTCTAGCACTGCTGTTACGTGAACTGAGGGCTATGCATGTTCCTCCAGACACTGTTGTTATGTGAACTGAGGGCTATGCATGTTCCTCTAGACACTGTTGTTATGTGAACTGAGGGCTATGCATGTTCCTCTAGACACTGTTATGTGAACTGAGGGTTATGCATGTTCCTCTAGACACTGTTGTTATGTGAAGTGAGGGCTATGCATGTTCCTCTAGACACTGTTGTTATGTGAACTGAGGGCTATACATGTTCCTCTAGACACTGCTATTATGTGAACTGAGGGCTATGCATGTTCCTCTAGACACTGTTGTTACGTGAACTGAGGGCTATGCATGTTCCTCTAGACGCTGTTGTTATGTGAACTGAGGGCTATGCATGTTCCTCTAGACACTGTTGTTATGTGAACTGAGGGCTATGCATGTTCCTCTAGACACTGTTATGTGAACTGAGGGCTATGCATGTTCCTCTAGATGCTGTTGTTACGTGAACTGAGGGCTATGCATGTTCCTCTAGATGCTGCTGTTATGTGAACTGAGGGCTATGCATGTTCCTCTAGACACTGTTGTTATGTGAACTGAGGGCTATGCATGTTCCTCTAGACACTGTTGTTATGTGAACTGAGGGCTATGCATGTTCCTCTAGACACTGCTGTTATGTGAACTGAGGGCTATGCATGTTCCTCTAGACACTGTTGTTATGTGAACTGAGGGCTATGCATGTTCCTCTAGCACTGCTGTTATGTGAACTGAGGGCTATGCATGTTCCTCTAGACACTGTTGTTACGTGAACTGAGGGCTATGCATGTTCCTCTAGACGCTGTTGTTATGTGAACTGAGGGCTATGCATGTTCCTCTAGACACTGTTGTTATGTGAACTGAGGGCTATGCATGTTCCTCTAGACACTGTTATGTGAACTGAGGGCTATGCATGTTCCTCTAGATGCTGTTGTTACGTGAACTGAGGGCTATGCATGTTCCTCTAGATGCTGCTGTTATGTGAACTGAGGGCTATGCATGTTCCTCTAGACACTGTTGTTATGTGAACTGAGGGCTATGCATGTTCCTCTAGACACTGTTGTTATGTGAACTGAGGGCTATGCATGTTCCTCCAGACACTGTTGTTATGTGAACTGAGGGCTATGCATGTTCCTCTAGACACTGCTGTTATGTGAACTGAGGGCTATGCATGTTGCTCTAGACACTGTTGTTACGTGAACTGAGGGCTATGCATGTTCCTCTAGACACTGCTGTTATGTGAACTGAGGGCTATGCATGTTCCTCTAGACACTGTTGTTATGTGAACTGAGGGCTATGCATGTTCCTCCAGACACTGTTGTTATGTGAACTGAGGGCTATGCATGTTCCTCTAGACACTGCTGTTATGTGAACTGAGGGCTATGCATGTTCCTCTAGACACTGTTGTTACGTGAACTGAGGGCTATGCATGTTCCTCTAGCACTGCTGTTACGTGAACTGAGGGCTATGCATGTTCCTCCAGACACTGTTGTTACGTGAACTGAGGGCTATGCATGTTCCTCTAGACACTGTTGTTATGTGAACTGAGGGCTATGCATGTTCCTCTAGACACTGCTGTTATGTGAACTGAGGGCTATGTATGTTCCTCTAGACACTGTTGTTATGTGAACTGAGGGCTATGCATGTTCCTCTAGACACTGTTGTTACGTGAACTGAGGGCTGTACATGTTCCTCTAGACACTGCTGTTACGTGAACTGAGGGCTATGCATGTTCCTCTAGACACTGTTGTTATGTGAACTGAGGGCTATGCATGTTCCTCTAGACACTGTTGTTATGTGAACTGAGGGCTATGCATGTTCCTCTAGACACTGTTGTTACGTGAACTGAGGGCTATGCATGTTCCTCTAGACACTGTTGTTATGTGAACTGAGGGCTATGCATGTTCCTCTAGACACTGTTGTTATGTGAACTGAGGGCTATGCATGTTCCTCTAGACACTGCTGTTATGTGAACTGAGGGCTATGCATGTTCCTCTAGACACTGTTGTTACGTGAACTGAGGGCTATGCATGTTCCTCTAGACGCTGCTGTTACGTGAACTGAGGGCTATGCATGTTCCTCTAGACGCTGCTGTTACGTGAACTGAGGGCTATGCATGTTCCTCTAGACACTGTTGTTACGTGAACTGAGGGCTATACATGTTCCTCTAGACACTGCTGTTATGTGAACTGAGGGCTATGCATGTTCCTCTAGACACTGTTGTTACGTGAACTGAGGGCTATGCATGTTCCTCTAGACACTGTTGTTATGTGAACTGAGGGCTATGCATGTTCCTCCAGACGCTGTTGTTATGTGAACTGAGGGCTATGCATGTTCCTCTAGACACTGCTGTTATGTGAACTGAGGGCTATGCATGTTCCTCTAGACACTGTTATGTGAACTGAGGGCTATGCATGTTCCTCTAGACACTGTTGTTATGTGAACTGAGGGCTATGCATGTTCCTCTAGCACTGCTGTTACGTGAACTGAGGGCTATGCATGTTCCTCCACACGCTGTTGTTATGTGAACTGAGGGCTATGCATGTTCCTCTAGACACTGCTGTTATGTGAACTGAGGGCTATGCATGTTCCTCTAGACGCTGTTATGTGAACTGAGGGCTATGCATGTTCCTCTAGACACTGTTGTTATGTGAACTGAGGGGATATGCATGTTCCTCTAGCACTGCTGTTACGTGGAACTGAGGGCTATGCATGGTTCCCTCTAGACACTGTTGTTAATGTGAACTGAGGGCTATGCATGTTCCTCTACACACTGCTGTTATGTTGAACTGAAGGGCTATGTATGTTCCTCTAGACACTGTTGTTATGTGAACTGAGGGCTATGCATGTTCCTCTAGACACTGTTTGTTACGTGAAACTGAGGGCTGTACATGTTCCTTTAGCACTGCTGTTACGTGAACTGAGGGCTATGCATGTTCCTCTAGACACTGTTGTTATGTGAACTGAGGGCTATGCATGTTCCTCTAGACACTGTTGTTATGTGAACTGAGGGCTATGCATGTTCCTCTAGACACTGTTGTTATGTGAACTGAGGGTTATGCATGTTCCTCTAGACACTGTTGTTATGTGAAGTGAGGGCTATGCATGTTCCTCTAGACACTGTTGTTATGTGAACTGAGGGCTATACATGTTCCTCTAGACACTGCTATTACGTGAACTGAGGGCTATGCATGTTCCTCTAGACACTGTTGTTACTCGAACTGAGGGCTAGGCATGTTCCTCTAGACGCTGCTGTTACGTGAACTGAGGGCTATGCACGTTCCTCTAGACACTGTTGTTACGTGAACTGAGGGCTATGCATGTTCCTCTAGACGCTGTTGTTATGTGAACTGAGGGCTATGCATGTTCCTCTAGACGCTGTTGTTATGTGAACTGAGGGCTATGCATGTTCCTCTAGACACTGTTGTTACGTGAACTGAGGGCTATGCATGTTCCTCTAGCACTGCTGTTACGTGAACTGAGGGCTATGCATGTTCCTCCAGACACTGTTGTTATGTGAACTGAGGGCTATGCATGTTCCTCTAGACACTGTTGTTATGTGAACTGAGGGCTATGCATGTTCCTCTAGACACTGTTATGTGAACTGAGGGTTATGCATGTTCCTCTAGACACTGTTGTTATGTGAACTGAGGGCTATGCATGTTCCTCTAGACACTGTTGTTACGTGAACTGCGGGCTATACATGTTCCTCTAGACACTGCTATTATGTGAACTGAGGGCTATGCATGTTCCTCTAGACACTGTTGTTACGTGAACTGAGGGCTAAGCATGCTCCTGTCGACGCTGTTATTATGTGAGAGGAGGACTAAGCATGCTCCTCTCGACACTGTTATGTGAACTGAGGGCTATGCATGTTCCTCTAGACACTGTTGTTACGTGAACTGAGGGCTATGCATGTTCCTCTAGACGCTGCTGTTACGTGAACTGAGGGCTATGCATGTTCCTCTAGACGCTGCTGTTACGTGAACTGAGGGCTATGCATGTTCCTCTAGACGCTGTTGTTATGTGAACTGAGGGCTATGCATGTTCCTCTAGACGCTGTTGTTATGTGAACTGAGGGCTATGCATGTTCCTCTAGACACTGTTGTTATGTGAACTGAGGGCTATGCATGTTCCTCTAGACACTGCTGTTATGTGAACTTAGGGCTATGCATGTTCCTCTAGACACTGCTGTTACGTGAACTGAGGGCTATGCATGTTCCTCTAGACACTGTTGTTACGTGAACTGAGGGCTATGCATGTTCCTCTAGACGCTGCTGTTACGTGAACTGAGGGCTATGCATGTTCCTCTAGACGCTGCTGTTTCGTGAACTGAGGGCTATGCATGTTCCTCTAGACGCTGTTGTTATGTGAACTGAGGGCTATGCATGTTACAAGACACTGTTGTTATGTGAACTGAGGGCTATGCATGTTCCTCTAGACACTGTTGTTATGTGAACTGAGGGCTATGCATGTTCCTCTAGACACTGTTGTTATGTGAACTGAGGGCTATTCATGTTCCTCTAAACAGCACTTTGGCTGCATCCATGGGTACTGGTATGTAGTACACTCATTTCCAGACAGCACTAAACAGTTTGCAGTTCTCATTTTGAATTTTGATTTCCTCTTTACCTTGTCAGTTTGAACTTTCCAAACCAATGCTTTTTTTTTTTTTTTTTGAGACAGTCTCACTCTGTTGCTCAGGCTGGAGTGCAGCAGCGGAATCTCAGCTCAATGCAACCTCTGCCTCCCAGGTTCAAGCAATTCTCCTGTCTCAGCCTCCTGAGTAGCTGGGATTACAGGCGGAAGCCACCACGCCAGGCTAATTTTGTATTTTCAGTAGAAATGGGGTTTCACCATGTTGGCCAGGCTGGTCTCAAACTCCTGACCTCAGGTGACCTGCCTGCCTGGGCCTCCTAAAGTGCTGGGATTACAGGCATGATCCACCACGCCTGGATAATTTTGTATTTTTAGTAGAGATGGATTTTTACCATGTTGGCCAGGCTGATCTTGAATTCCTGACCTCAGGCGATCCACCATCCTCAGCCTCCCAAAGTTCTGGGATTAAAGGTGTGAGCCACTGCACCCAGGCTGACCAATATTCTTGTTCACTTCTAATTTTACTCCACTGTGGTCTGTGAACATGACTTGTATGCTATCAACTTGCAGAAAAATTTTGAGATTTCCTTAGTGGCCTATTATAGGATAAATGTGAAGGTCCCAAACGTGTGTGACAAGAATCTCAGTTTTCTGTCAGGGCACAAGCTTCTCTGCATTTTTAAGTCAAGCATGTTAATTGTGGCATTCAGGGCCTCTCTCTCCTTATTTATTTGCCTACTTGATCTGTCAGTTTCTGAGAGGCCTCCCAGGTCTTTTTCCTTGCACAGGTCCTGCTTTTCCTTACAAAAGCCTGCTTTTTCTTCTCTTGCTTCCCTCTACCTCCACTTTTTTTTTTTGTTTTTGACAGAATCTCACTCTATTGCCTAGACTGGAGTGCATTGGCATGTTCTTGGCTCACTGCAACCTCCACCTCCCGGGTTCAAGCCATTCTCCTGCCTCAGCCTCCCGAGTAGCTGGGATTACAGGTGCCCACCACCACACTCTGCTAATTTTTGTACTTTTAGTAGAGACAGGGTTTTGCCATGTTGGCCAGGCTGGTCTCGAACTCCTGGCCTCAGGTGATCCACCTGCCTCGGCCTTCCAAAGTGCTGGGATTACAGGTGTGAGCCACTGCGCCTGGCTACTTGCTTCCCCTTTCTATCGTGTTCAACATGCACTGCTTTCCAGGGCACTTCCCATGTTAGCCCTATGAAATCCTGAGCACTGACCCCCTCGATCTGCTTGGAGCTACTGTAGTCGGGGTCTTTCCCTTAGTAACTACACACTCAAGGCTCCCTCTCAAAGTCTCAAACCTTACAACTTCCCACCTCCACCTCCCCCAACACAGCTGGCTCAAAGGGCCCCAGGCTCAGATACCAAGCTCTGCTCACCTCCTTCTGGATTTCACTCTTGAGGGCAGAGATCTTCATCTTCATGTCCTCCAGCTCATGGTCTGGGAAGGGGTGCACCTGGGGGCTGGCCTCAGATTCCTCGGGGGATGGAAACACCAGGTCGGCCAGGGGGATGTACCACTTACAGTCATACTGCTGGTGCTTCCTGCAAACGAGCCAGAGGGAGCCATGAGCCAGAGGGAGCCTGGCTCTTCCAGCCTCAACTCTTGGGTCCAGAACCACAAAACCACTGACGGGTTGACTGAGAACTCGCCAGAAGCACGAACGATCCCTGCTCCTGAGGAGCCTGATTGGGAAACACACACTGGAGTGATGAAAGCTGGGTTCTGGGGTCCGCCCCGCCCGCAGGGAGCAACTCCGCCCCTTCACCTTACCAGGCTTCTGGCCCAGATGACTCATGTTGTCAAACATCCCAAACCACTTAGGTATCAAGAAGAGCGAAGCCTTCCTGGCTGGGCTCACATTTTCCTATTCCCCACCACAATCCCCTCCCTCCCTTCTAGACTATCCGTGTTCAATATCCTTCAGGCTAGCAATGGAATACAGGTGTTATTCCAAATGCCACCTCTTATCAAGAGTGGTCACATGGGTCAACACTGGGTGGAGGATTACAAAGCCACATCCAAGTCTAGCAAGAAAGTGTGCCCTAGTTGATTAGTGATGTCTGCCATGGCAAAGGACAGCAGGCAGAGGCATATGTGATTAGTAATGTCTGCCATCGCAAAGGACGACAGGCAGAAGCATGTGTGCTTATTATTGCCATCTCTGCCTCAGAACTATCTCAAACATGATCTAGTTCCAGGGAGTCATGTCCTTTATTATTATTATTTTTTAAATTATTTTTATTTTGTGAGATGGAGTTTTGCTCTTGTTCCCAGGCTGGAGTGCAATGGCGCGATCTCCACTCACTCCAACCTCTGCCTCCAGGGTTCAAGCGATTCTCCCACCTCATTCTCCCAAGTAGCTGGGATTATAGGTGCCTGCCATCACACCCAGCTAATTTTTGTACTTTCAGTAGAGACGGAGTTTTGCCATGTTGGCCAGGCTGGTCTCAAACTCCTGACCTCAGGTGATCCACCCGCCTTGGCCTCCCAAAGTGCTGGGATTACAGGCATAAGCCACCGTGCCCGCCCAGTCATCCCTTTATTGACGTTCATAATCATCGATCCTTCCCCTAGGACTTAGATTTGCACTTCTCATTCTGACCCTTGAGTGTTGAGGTGGGCGTGGGGCTTGCTCCCCCTGAGCTATACTTGGGGGCACAGCCAGCCAGGGAGGGCTGAAGGGAGAGGTAGGATAGCCTGGTGGTGTAACACACTGGCTGTGGAGTCCCCTGTGCTGTACTTGGGGGCACAGCCAACCAGGGAGGGCTGAAGGGAGAGGCAAGATAGCCTGATGGTAAACGAGTCCCACAGACACGGGTTTGAATCCAGACTGCCGCTTCTCAGCCGTGAGAAGGGGTGTGCTTGGCACACTGCAGTTGATCACTAAGTGTGGGTGGAAGAATGTGTGAATGAACGCAGAATGAGCCTCTGCTCAAGGCACAGAGCAGACCCACACTCCCGGGTAGAGAGAAGGAGGCTCAAAGGAGCTTGCACATCAGCTTGGGGTTCCAGTCCCACCCTCCCGGGTAGAGAGAAGGAGGCTCAAAGGAGTTTGCACGTCAGCTTGGGGTTCCAGTCCCACCTGTGCCTCTAGCTGTGCGAGCTTGGGCTGCTTATTTACCTTCTCCAAGACTCCTCTCTCATCTATGATTAGGGAACAACAGTCGCTACTTTGTGGAGGTGTTGGGAGGACTAGAAATCATGTATTCAAAGCATGTGTCACGGCACCTGGCATGGCATAAACCCTCAATAAATAGTAGCAGGAGACGTGGTGAATATTCACAGCACTGCAGTTAGCAGAAATTCAGAGATGTCTAATAAAAGGAGAATGCTTAAGTAGACGATGGCACATCTACGGGTAACATCGTGCAGGAAAGTAAAAGGATGATTATGAAGATGAGGCAGCAACAGGGAAAATGCTTATGACACGAAACAGAAACAGCAGAGCCCCAAATTGGGCATTCACAGTGATTACGACTGTGTGAAGAAACATGAGAACATTTAAAAACAGGGAAGGAAGCAGCGCGGCAGGAGTCGGACCTCATGCTTCAGTGGGGGACGGGGTTTCCTCCAATGGCCTTATATTATCTTTATAATTAAAAACATGACTTACTTTCAGGAAAAAAGGCTATGTAGTGAAATTAAGTTAATTAATATAGTTTTTAAAAGGAAAAAACCGGCCAGGCGCGGTGGCTCATGCCTGTAATCCCAGCACTTTGGGAGGCCGAGGCGGGCAGATCACCTGAGGTTGGGAGTTTGAGATCAGCCTGGCCAACATGGCAAAACCCCGTCTCTACTAAAAATACAAAAATTAGCCAGACATGGTGGCATGGTGGCGTGCACCTGTAATCCCAGCTACTCAGGAGGCTGAGGCAGGAAAATCGCTTGAACCCGGGAGGCAGAGGTTGCAGTGAGCCGAGATCGCACCACTGCACTCCAGCCTGGGCAACAGAGCAAGACCCTGTCTCAAAAGAAAAAAAACCAACAAAGTTGCTGAAGGCTCCATGGGTGGCAGGGTCCGGCCTCCCTCCCCCGCCCTGTGCCACTGGACTCACACACTCACCCCGCAGAGGTCAGGACCCCCTCCCCCGCCCCTGGACTCACACACTCACCTCGCAGAGGTCCGGACCCCCTCCCCCGCCCCTGGACTCGCACACTCACCCCGCAGAGGTCAGGACCCCCTCCCCCGCCCCGGACTCGCACACTCACCCCGCAGAGGTCCGGACCCCCTCCCCCGCCCCGTGCCCCTGGACTCACACACTCACCCTGCAGAGGTCTTCTTCAGCTTGGCACACAGTAGGACATCTGTAAAGAGGAAGACGTGCCGCAGCTTCCGGGAGCTCTCTGACACTTCCACCAGGAAGCCGTCCTTCACCAGCTGTCGCGTCTGAGGGAGATGGCAGACCCCCCAGCCTGCTCAGAGGGGAATGCGGCCGAGGGCAGAGCCTGCACACGGGGGCATGGCCAGCCAGGGAGGACTGGACCGAGAGGCGGCATAGCCTGTCATCCCTTAACCAAAGGTGGTTCAAGCACTGCCTTTGGAGTCACATGGGCATGGGTTTGAATGCCAACAGGCTTCTCAGCTGTGATCTCAGACAGGCTCCCTGACCTCTCTGAATCCCAGATTCACCTTCTGTTAAGTGCGGACAGTGAGGTCTGCCTCATAAGGTGACTCATCGAGATGGTGCATGTGAAACAGCACAGTGCCTGGCACATTAAGTGTGTGCAACGCACGGGGCTCTCCGCGGCTAACCCTGGAGCCCCCTGCCCTGGACGACCTGGTTTCTCCACCCTGGGGCACGAACATCCCCGTTTGCAATCCCTCCCGACCGCGGCGGCGAACTTCATCTAGCCCCGGCTCAACCGAGACCCGAGACCCGAGACCCACTCAGGCCTGTCTGTGCTACTCCTCCCTGGCTTCTCCAGCCCCCTGGGGATGAGACCTGGGCCCTCCAGCCTGGGACTGCAGCAGTGCCCAGAGGGGACCTGCAGCCAACTCTAACCTGGGCTCTGGGTGGTTTCTGCTCCACGTGGGAGTTCCAGAGTTTCCAACCCCCGCTCAGAGCCGGGGGGTCGTCCCCATCTGTGCCAGCCTTTCCTGTATGATACACGGTGTGACCTACATCTGCTGTAATACGTAGGTGAGCGTATTCAAAGTATACAATTAAGATGACCGAGGCCGGGCGCAGTGGTTCACACCTGTCATCCCAGCAATTTGGGAGGCTGAGGCGGGTGGATCACCTGAGGTCAGGAGTTTGAGACCAGCCTGGCCAACGTGGCGAAACCCCGTCTCTACTAAAAATACAAAAACTAGCCAGACATGGTGACGCCTGCCTGTAATCTCAGCTACTTGGGAGGATGAGGCAGGAGAATTGCTTGAACCCAGAGGGTGGAGGCTGCAGTGGAGCTGAGGTCACGCCATTGCACTCCAGCCTGGACGATGGAATGAGATTCAGTCTCAAAAAAAGGATGACTGAAAACGGAGGGTACGCTAAGCCCTCTGGAGATTTTTCAGATATCCCCAGAGTAAAACAGACGACGGGATCCCCAGACGCTGCACATCAGCACCAGGAGCCGCACGGAATCGGCTCTCTCTGCCCAGTGGACACTGTCCAGGCCTGTCCCTCACCACTTTCTCCCCAGGAGACCCTGGGGGCTCGTAAACAGACCACAGGAGCAGACACCCTGTCAGCCTCACTCGTAACGGCCGCCTAATGGCCTCCCCTGGACAGGAAGCCTTTCACCCGGGCCCGGCTGCCAATCCACGAAGGCAACTGTCCCTCTCATGCTTCCTGGTACTCCCCTTGCTGGGCTGTCCCCACCCTTGCATCAAGAAGGGCCCCCAGGGAACGGCTGTCCCACATGCAGGTGCCCACTGGACATTCCGGCAACCTGGACGGCCTCCACCACCTCCAACGCCAGCCTTTCCTGCTGTGGGCTCCCCGCAAGCCACTGCGTGTGCAGGCCGAGCTGAAGCAGCTCCAAGCTCCTGCTCCCTTCGCTTCCTAGGAGACCCTGACGGCATCACACTGGCCAGAGGCAGGTGTCTGCATTCAAGAATGAGGCACCCGGAGGCCACTTCCCCGGCGTGGGCCTCCAGACAGTCCCAGGTGAGGAATCCAGCTCTGACACCAGTGGCTGAAAGACTGCGTGGTGGACCTGGAGAGACTCCCCAGCCTCAGGTTCTTCTGGCTCACTGGATTGTTATTATTATTTCTGAGATGGAGTCTCACTCTGTCACCCAGGCTGGAGTGCAGTGGTGCGATCTCGGCTCACTGTAACCTCCGCCTCCTGGGTTCAAGCAATTCTCCTGCCTCAGCCTCCTGAGTAGCTGGCACTACAGGCATCCGCCACCACGCCCAGCTAATTTTTGTATTTTTAGTAAAGACGGGGCTTCACCATGTTGGCCAGGCTGGTCTCAAACTTCTAACTCAAGTGATCCACCTGCCTCAGCCTCCCAAAGTGCTGGGATTACAGGTGTGAGCCACCGTGCCCGGCCTCCCTAGATTATTATGAGGATTAATGAGACACTGGACTTAAACTTCTCAGCCTAGGGCCTGGAAAGCTGCAGGTCATCAGGGTGACCAAGGGCTGAAAACCTCTCCTTGGCTGGGAATGGGGGATCAGGATTGGAGAGGCAGGAGGCACCCGGTGCCGCCCGTGTGTGAGAGAAGGGGACGAGGGACCTGCCGCCCGTGTGTGAGAGAAGGGGACGAGGGACCTGCCGCCCGTGTGTGAGAGAAGGGGACGAGGGACCTGCCGCCCGTGTGTGAGAGAAGGGGACGAGGGACCTGCCGCCCGTGTGTGAGAGAAGGGGACGAGGGACCTGCCGCCCGTGTGTGAGAGAAGGGGACGAGGGACCTGATACTTCTCAGCCTGGGTGAGGGGCCGTGCCGGGCTCTGAGCTCACCTCCCCCTTGGGCGTTGTCACTGCAGTCCGGCGGGGGTCGATGTCCTCGTTGATGCTGGACAGGAAGTTCTGGGAGATGCGGAGGGCATCCTGCAGCAGCGGGTAGTCGGGGTGGTCCACAGGTGTGTGCTTCAGCAGGTCCTGGGAAGGGTGAGGCGGTGAGTTGAGGGGAGCGGCTCTGGGGCCTGATGTGTGGCCACCGGGGAGTGCTCAGTCCCCATCCAAAGGGTGGGCACTCAGGGACCTGCCTAATTCCCGCAAAATCTGAACTACAAATCAGAGTCAGGCCGGGCACGGCGGCTCATGCCTGAAATCCCAGCACTTTGGGAGGCCGAGGCGGGGGATCTCTTGAGGTCAGAAGTTCGAGACCAGCCTGGGCAACGTGGTGAAACCCCATCTCTAGTAAAAATATAAAAATTAGCTGGGCGTGGTGGCGGGCGCCTGTAGTCCCAGCTACTCGGGAGGCTGAGGCAGGAGAATTGCTTGAACCCAGGAGGCAGAGGTTGCAGTGAGCCGAGATCGCACCACTGCACTCCAGCCTGGGTGACAGAGTGAGACTCCGCCTCAAAAAAAAAAAAAAAAAAAAAAAATCAGAGCCAGCACAGCAGGGGAGAGGGCCCTGGCTGCCCCCTCTTCTCCTGGCCACAGTCATACTCTCTCCCCAGTGTGGAGACCAGGTGGAGGCTCATCCCCCCGAGCAGCTGGGAGAGAAACCCTGTGTCTGCCCTGCAGCTGCTCCAAGGACACTGGAGACCAGGAGGCAGCGGGTGGGGAAGCAGGAATGCCTGCCTCCCCGGGAGCACCTGGCCACGTCAAGCTTAGTAGCCAAGCTGTATTCAGGCCCTAGCCTGGCGGCATGGATACCGCGGGCCAGACAGGCATCCTTGGAGCCTAGGAACCCCTGATTCCCCAGGTGGACTGTTCTCGGTGACTCCAGCACCCTCTCACCCAGGCTCAGTCTTCCACTGAACTCCTAAGCCCTCTCTGGCCATTCGGAGGCTTGACACTCACGTGTAGGACTAGGGTGCTCCGAGTGACCCGGTCAATGGGCTTGTAGAGCAGAGCTGTCGGGGGAGACAGGGAGAAGGAGGAAGAGGATGATGGACGAGGGCAACCCAACACCCCAGAGACCAGCTTCGTCCCCCCACCCGCATGCTTCCCACGTGAACACCCCTCGAGGGACACCAGAGTGAGCCCACGGCAGCCCCCACCTCTGTTCTCACTCCCCGGGCCGACCAAACAGCAGACACAGGTGACACACAGCCCTGGCAGCCCCTGCTCCCTCCGCAGCCCTGCCTCCTCTCCCATCAGACATGGCTTCATCGAGAGCCGCCCCGCCCCCCTCCCCAGGCCTGTCCTGGCCTCACCTGGCTCAAGGCAGATGCTCTCCTGGACCCCCAGCCCTGAATCACACAGCTCCACCCAGCCACGCCCCGAAGAGTCCAGCACACCTGCCACACGCAGGACCCCAGAATCACACAGCTCCACCCAGCCACGCCCCGAAGAGTCCAGCACACCTGCCACACGCAGGACCCCAGAATCACACAGCTCCACCCAGCCACGCCCCGCAGAGTCTAGCACACCTGCCACACGCAGGACCCCAGAATCACACAGCTCCACCCAGCCACGCCCCGTAGAGTCCAGCACACCTGCCACACGCAGAACCCCAGAATCACACAGCTCCACCCAGCCATGCCCTGCAGAGTCTAGCACACCTGCCACATGCAGGACCCCAGAATCACACAGCTCCACCCAGCCACGCCCCGCAGAGTCCAGCATACCTGCCACACGCAGAACCCCAGAATCACACAGCTCCACCCAGCCATGCCCTGCAGAGTCTAGCACACCTGCCACATGCAGGACCCCAGAATGGGGGAAGGAGACATGCTGTGTTTCCAGGAAGGGCAGCTCTCCAGACCTTATCATTCTCAGGCTCCTGGAGCTGAAGGCCAGGCACAGCCAGCTGGGATTGGCATGCCTCACTGTGATCCACAGGACTGGCCTCATCTCTCAGAGGAAAGACCCCTCCCCACATCCTCAAACCCCAGATAGCAAAGCACAGGAAGGCTGGAGGCAGGGAGGCTGGAGGCCAGGAGGCTGGCCTGATCTCCACAGAAAGGCTCTGCTCCCCGAGGCCAGCCTGGCCAACCAGTGAAACCCCATCTCTATTAAAAATACAAAAATTAGCCAGGCGTGGTGGCACATGCCTGTAATCCCAGCTATTTGGGAGGCTGAGGCAGGGAAATCACTTGAACCCGGGAGGCGGAAGTTGTAGCGAGCCAAGATCATGCCACTGCACTCCAGCCTGGGTAACAAGAGCAAAACTCCATCTCAAAAAAAAAGAAAAAAGGCTGTGCTCTCAAACACGTGGCAGCCTGAGGGGCAAAGGTTTCCTGAAGCAACTCAGGTTAGGCCTCACATATGAGAGCCCCAAAGAGGCTGGGAGGACGCAGGCAAGGCCAGCCCAGGCCCCCAAGAGCCACACCCTCCACAACCCGGACACCAAGTGAGGATGGCTGGGATTCAGCAGGGACAGGTGGAGGTGGCAGCTGGTGGATCAACACTTCCCAACACCCTTCCTGTACGCGGCTGCGCCCACCCTCCCAACAGGAGGCTCAGCTTCAGTCCTGCACCTGGATGCTCTGTCCCTGGGGTCATGACCTTGGGCCTCCTGCCGCAGGGGCAGTGACAGAGGCAGGTTGGTCATCTGGGAAGAAGGATCCCAGACTGGGTGTCCCATAAGACCAGGTTGTGACAGGTCCCAGCGTGAACACGCACGCCCTAGCCGGGCCCCAAACCTGATAGTTCTCCAAAGCCTGAGATATAAATACCCCGTGCGCGGCTAAGCAGACACTTCAGGGAGCAATCTGCTGGCTGTGAAGAAAATGCAGCCTCAGCAGGGCCACCAGCCTTACCCGCAGTCCGAGCTTGGCTGCCTGTCGGAATCACTGGGGGAGCGGTTAAAAGATACAGATGCTGCTCCCCAGCCCCGTCAACTCAACCCAAATCTCTGCAAGACCACAAGGGCCATCAGCATTTCTATAAAGCTTCTTTACTGATTTGAATGTATAATAATGGTTGAAAACCACTGCTTTATGTTTTATTTATGTATTTATTTTAATTTTTTTAAAAATATAGAGACGAGGGGCCGGGCAGGGTGGCTCACGCCTGTAATCCCAGCACTTTGGGAGGCCGAAGCGGGTGGATCATTTGAGGTCAGGAGTTCAAGAACAGCCTGGCCAACATGGTGAAACCCCATCTCTACTAAAAATACAAAAATTAGCCAGGTGTGGTGGCAGGCGCCTATAATCCCAACTACTTGGGAGGCTGAGGCAGGGGAATCTCTTGAATCCAGGAGGCAGAGGTTGCAGTGAGCTGAGATTGCGCCATTGCACTCCAGCCTGGGCGACACAGTGAGTCTTCGTTTAAATAAAAATAAATATAGAGACAAGGTCTCACTATGTTGCTGGTCTCGAACTCCTGGCCTCAAGCCAAATACAAGCTGGTCTCGAACTCCTGGCCTCAAGCAATCCTCCTGCCTCAGTCTGCCAAAAGTTGGGATTACAGGCATGAGTACCCGGCCAACCACTGGTTTACGTAAATACACTTCATATGACATATCTGTAGCCCTTTCTTATCTAGCAGTTTCCAGAGACCCTCCCCATGGGCCATGGAAGCTTGAAGGAATGAGGCCAGTCTTGGGGTATCCTCGGCACTGAGGGTGCAGCCCAGGTCCTAGCTCAGGTGGGATCCATTTCTGAGGCTGTTTAAGGCACCCACCTGTGGCTCAGCCCATCTTCAGGGGGAAAAAATCACACTGGAGAACCCCAGAGACCCAAAAGAAAGCACAAGCTCAGCAGACACCTGCCAGGGTGGGCTCCGGAGTGGCGGCTCCACAGAAAGCTGACACTGCATTATCGGCTCCCCGCAGCCCTCTCTTGGGTCCCAAGAGGAAGAGGTTTCTGACTAAGCTCAGAGGTCTGAACACATGGCAGGTTGGGTTTCAGAGGGGTTATTAACATGTCTGTGGTCACCTCCAGAGTCCACCTGAGTAAGGCTGTGGAATGAGCCCTGGAAGGGCGGCCAGGAGGGCAGGTGCACGGGGGGGGTGGGGGTGGGGGGGGTGGCGGCACTGGGACCACATCAGATACGGAGGGAACCGGGGGAATAAGAGCGGCCCTGAAGTTTGTGCTCCCCACGGCCCCTGCACGCTGGGGTCCCCTGAGAACTCAGGGTGAGGCACTCGCTCTGGCCCTTCCCCTGTCCCTGGGCTCCTGCAGGCTGGCCTGCTTCCTGCCCGGCCTCACCCACTCTCCCTCTCCACTGACACTGACTTGGGCAGCAAGCTGGTCTCTCTCTAGTTTGCTGGGTACTCGCTCTGTGCCCAAGGGTACTGAGTTAACTGCTTTGCTCTCATTATTTCCTGTGATTAAAACGGGAAGCAATTCTCACTAGCCCCATTTTACAGACAAGGCAACTGAGGCCAGAGACTTGTGGCTACAAGTGGTGGGAGCTGGGTAGATCCACCCGCACTCCTTGCTTTGAGCTGCACCTTCTTCAGGGAAAGGCAGCACCTGTAAAACCTCAATGAACCACAGGAGCGTTCTTGGAAAGAGTGACCAGGATGGGGTGAGCCCCCTCCTCACGAGCTGGCCCTTTCACTCCTCATTCCCCACTTTGAAGCCGACTTCAACAACAGTATCACGGAGACCGAAGCAACGTGAACTCCAGGTCCCAGGTCCGTTTCACTGAGTCGAAGCTTCCTTTTGGGGAAGGGAGAGGAAGCCAAGGGTACGTTTCCTTTTCAGGGAGGCAGAGTCAAGACCTGACCAACTCCTAGGCCAGACCAAAAAGACCATTTCTCCTCTGATCGCTGACCAGGCCAATTTCAAGTGAGAACAGGGTTCCTGCAGCCGCCCTGCTGGGCCGCAGGAGAGAGGCTGCCTCAGAGCTTGCTTCCATCAAGAGGGTCCTGAGAAGGTCAGGGGGCACTGGCCCCACACAGCCCCTCCAGCACAGCCGCCCCTGGGAAGGAGCCCAGGAAACCTGCCATCTCTCTTCCGGCAAGCCACCATCCCCCTCAAGTCAGCCTTCGACAAGGAGCTCCAAGGAGCTCCAGGTTACCAGGGAGATAGGAAAGCAAAGTGACTGAGAAGGGTGCAGAGCCGAAACACCTGGTGGGAAGGAAGAGGAAGGTCCTAAAACCAGCCGCCTGCTGCTCCCACAGACTCAGGCCCAGAGCAGCCGGCCTGGGAGCCACACGTGCCCACCCCACTCCCTGCCACAGGCAGGCAGGGCACCCCTTGGCACGTCTTGCCTCTTGAGGCAGGGTCCACGGGCTTCTGGACACCTCCCTACCTGGGCCGGCTTCATCCTCCTACGACCGACAGTCGTGTTGATGACATGCACCTGTCCCGGGACTTCCCCCCAGCCCCCAGCCAGCTGCGGGAGCTGCAAGGAGGATGGTCCGGGTCCCTTCCACCGAAAGGTGGTGTGTGTGTGTGTGTGTGTGTGTGTGACCTTCACAGAGTAGCTTGCCACACCCCTCTCCCGCTGGCCCTGCCGACCTGCCTTCCACAGTTGAGGGCCCAGACCTCGGCTGGGGGTCTCTCACGGCTGGAAACAAACCTCTCCTTCCTGCTCCCACAGCCCCTCCGTGTCCTCCGCCTACTGCTGCATGTGCGCGGAGCACACAATACCGTGCCGCCCAGCCTCCGCGCCTCTCTCCAGAAACAAAGAAACTCCCAACTTCTCCCTCTGGCTCGCGCTGGCACCCTCTCGGCTGGCAACGCCGCCGTCCGGACCATCGCCACCCATCGCCACGCTGTGCCTGGCCCCCGCAGACCCTCTCCCTGGCCTCAGGGCTACTACGTCTGCGGGCACAGCTCGTCGCCGTCTCTCCCTAACAGCCCCTCCAGGAAGTTCTCTCACACTAGCCCACCAATTCCCCACCGATCCTCGGGGCCACCTGGACCCCTCCAGCCTGGTCCTTCCATTTGCAAGCGGCCCTGCTCTGAGCAGCCCCCAGGTTTCAACTCTAGGCTGGATGCCGCCAAAACGAAGGGGGAATTCAGGTCCAGCCGCTCGCCCACCCTCCTTCCCTGCGGCCCTCTAACCTCCCCGGCCACATCTAAGCCCACTCCAGCCGGCCCCCAGAGGTGGGAGGGTCCGCCACCTCCCACAGCGAGCACCTGGGTTACCATAGGTGCAGTTACAGCAGAAGCGAATAATGAGGAGAATCTCCATGGCAGCCTCTGTCCCCGCGGCGGGAGCGTGCAGCCATCGCTCCAGGCTCCCCGGCGCCCACCAGCAGCCCGGCCACTCAGCCACCTTGCTGATGCTGCCGCACGGACTCCAGCATCGGGCAGCCGCTCCGGAGTGCTCTTCCAGCAAGGGGGAGGGGAGGGAGGCGCGTGGCGAGGAGAGGAGGGAAGGGGAAGGGGAGGAGGGGTAGGGAGGGAGGGAGCCAGCAGCCTGCTGGCATCCTAAAGAGGAGCACGTTTGTAGCTGGCTGGCTGCCTGGGCACGAGGCTAGAGTCCTCGCGTGCGCGCACACGCGCACTCAGCTCACACTCACACGCGCTCACACACGCTCACGCTCACACGCGCTCACACACACGCACACACAAGGGGAAGGGCGCCGCGTTCACGCAGCCTGTTGCCTGCACAGCCAGACAAAGGTAGGTGCCTGTAATCCAGCCCGCTCCCCGAGGTACCTTCCATGGTGACAGACGTGTGGCTGTCCTTGGAGTCCTTGGGACCTTTCACTTTGAGTTCCTGCCAAAGGGAGGAGAGGAGTCATGGCCTGTTCTGTCCCTCACCTCTCCCAGCCCCCACTGTGAGCCTGGCAAGAAGGGGAGTTCTGAAACTCAGGGTGTACATATGAGAACAGAGGCCGGGTGTGGCGGCTCACGCCAGTCATCCCAGCACTTTGAGAGGCCGTGGTGGGCGGATCACCTGAGGTCGGAAGTTCGAGACCAGCCTGGTCAACACGGTGAAACCCCATCTCTACTAAAAATACAAAAGTTAGCCAGGTGTGGTGTCAGGTGCCTGTAATCCCAGCTACTTGGGAGGCTGGGGCAGGAGAATCGCTTGAACCTGGGAGGCGGAGGTTGCAGTGAGCCAAGATCACACCATTGCACTCCAGCCTGGGCAACAGGGCGAGACTCTGTCTCAAAAAAAAAAAAAAAAAAAAAAAAAAAAAAAAAAAAAAAGAAAGACAAAGGAGCCCCATGGCCATGGGCTGCCTCTGCCACCCCAATCCCCTGCACCACACCTGTGAACTCCTGGAGCCTCGTGGAGTCCAGTGGCTGGGGCGTGGGCAAGAAGGAAGGGACTCCAGGTCCCAGAGATGAGAGAGGCTGGCAGGGAGCCCTGTGATTACAGGAACCCCGACTCAGGAACCCTACACGTCGGCCAAGGGCAGACAGGGTTTGAGTTGACCAGCGCCAGGTACTCCAGCCAATCTTTAGGGCATGAGGAACCCATGAGGTAGGAAGGAAGGGTCCCACACGCCAGCAGGGAAGTGGTGGACCTTCGGCAGAGATGCTGAGCTCCCCAGGACAGTGAGCTGCATCCTACCCCCATCAGAGAGCACTTACTCAGCCCCCAGCACCCCCGACACTCCCCACCCACCACTGCCCATGCTGGGGGTCCGAGAGGAAGCTTCGAGGGAGGAACAGCCAATGCCCCTCCTGGATCCCAAGCCAGGCAGCAGGTAGTGAGTACTGGAAAGACCCCCGGGATGACTCATCTGCTCCAAGCCTCTTTATCCTCCTTTAGAGACGTTCCAGCCCCAGCTTTTGCTAACAGGACAGTGCAGCCTGCAACTGGAGCTGTAATACCATCCCCACTTGGCAGACGGAGCACACGGAGCCTCAAAGAGGGGTGTGGGAGGGAAGGCAGGAGGCAAGGTGAGGCCACGGTCAGGTGCCCAGGTGATGAGGCCAGGGTCAGGTGCCCAGGTGATGAGGCCAAGGTCAGCTGCCCAGGTGATGAGGCCAAGGTCAGCTGCCGAGGTGATGCCACCTGCTTGGTCTGCAGGGGAGGAAGCGCTCAGACAGCAGGAACTTCCTACTTCTGTCTCAAGCTGTTTCTAGACAGAGAAAACTCCTGGAGATGGAGCTTGGGTGTGTGTATATTTTGGGGGGCGGGGGGGTGGGGGATACTCAGCGTCCCCAGCCTGTGTCTCTGGCTGGTGCCTGGACTCCCAGATTTCGGGAATGTTTCCTCACGCCCCCTCCAGTGAAGTCTAGGGTATGAAATCACTCCTGCTGCAGAGAGGAGCCTAATTGCAGTAATTAAGTGGCAGCCTCAGCAGGAAGCAAGCACGTCATCGAGTGAGTCAGGATGAGAAGCCACCTGGCAGAAAGCCAGGGGCCTGGCTCTGCCCTCCAGGGTGGGCAGGCTGTGAGGGGCTTATGGTTGGGTGTGGGGGTTTCTGCCTAGGCACAGAGAACAGGCAATCAGCCCAGGCCAAGAGAAGACCCCACACTCTCTGCACCATGTCTGACCCCGGGATCTTGGGCGGCCTTGGCAGGGCTGATCTGAACACAGACCAGGGGAGTCCAGGTAGTTCCTGGGTTGGGCTGGAAACCGCAGGGAAAGCACCATTTCTCCAGCCCCTTTTATTTGTATTTTTAATAGAGACGGGGTTTCACCATGTTTCCCAGGCCGGTCTTGAACTCCTGGGCTCAAGCCAATCTCCCGCCTCGGCCTCCCAAAGTGCTGGGATTACAGGCGTGAGCCACTGCACCTGGCCTCTCCAGCCACTTGACTCCATGGAGAGGGACTTCCCCACCCTGCACTTCGTCCTCCCAGGCAGAGGGTGACACATCTGCTCCATGGGTCTGGGAGAAGAAACTATGGTCAGCCATCCTCTCTCTGCACACTGGGTAAGAGGCGTGGGCTCTGTCCTCATTGTGGAGAGGGGCCTGTGTTTTCCTATTCCTGCAAGGGACTCAATAGATACTTTTTTTTTTCCAGACAGGGTCTCGCTCTGTCACCAGACTGGAGTGCAGTGGCGTGATCGCAGCTCACTGCAACCTCCACCTCCCGGGTTCAAGAGATTCTCCTGTCTCAGCCTCCCAAATAGCTGGGATTACAAGTGTGCACCACCACGCCCGGCTAATTTTTGTATCTTTAGTAGAGACGGCGTTTCGCCACGTTGGCCAGGCTGGTCTCAAACTCCTGACCTCAGGTGATCCGCCCGCCTCGGCCTCCCAAAGTGCTGGGATGACAGGTGTGAGCCGCCACGCCCGGCTTCTATAGGTACGTTTCATTCCAGAGGCGAAGTGTCAGCAAGCCCACTGTGGCTACAGATCCAAATCCACATTTTCCAAGCTGCATTTTTTTAACAGTAATGAAGGTGACATGTTCATCTCCAACTGTCAGCTTCTCTGCTGCCTCTCGGTGGATTCTAAACGTGGGCATCGACCGTCACCCCTGAAGTTTCAGGAAAACTACCCTGCGTTTCCCCAACTCTTCTAGCGTTAGAGCTGAGACGGGAACACAAAGGGCCAAGAGGGGCCTTTACGGCAGGACTCCCAAAACTGCAGAAGCTTCTCCCCTTTTCTAGGATGGAGGTTCTCTTGCCCTGAGCTGGGGGCTGTTCCTCTCAGGCCAGTGCTTCAGGGGTGCCACTGAGGTCTTTTTGGACAAAGGGATGAACTGGGCTCTGTCCTGAAGGATCCTAAGCAACTGTCCCTCCATGCCACCTCTTAGGTAGAAATGTTGATGGCAGATAGGACTGCACCTCTGCCCTGTGGAGGAGTGCGGGAGGAAGGCTGGGCCTCAGGAGCAGAAGCACGCGTGTTCCCAGCCAGGAAGGCTGGGCCTCAGGAGCAGAAGCACGTGTGCTCCCGGCCAGGTAGGCTGGGCCTCAGGAGCAGAAGCACGCGTGTTCCTGGCCAGGAAGGCTGGGCCTCAGGAGCAGAAGCACGCGTGTTCCCGGCCAGGGATTCTAAGGCTCCTTCTCCACATAAGTGGCTCTTACCCTTTTTGTGTTTATGGGATGGCAGTCTTAGAGTTGGCAAGAACCTTAAAAGACGACCTATAGTCCAAATTTCCTCAAGACTTCCCTGTCATAAATATTACCCAGAAGCTTGTTCAAATATAGAATCTTGGGCCCCACGCAAAGCCTTCTGAATCAGAAGCTCCGGGGAAGGTGCCAGGAAATCTGTGTTTTAAACAATGCCCCAGTGATTCTTATCAAGCAAGGTCAGGATTAGCTGGCCAAGCTGGACTCAGTGGCTCGCACCTGTAATGTCAGCACTTTGGGAGGCTGAGACGGGCACATCACCCGAGTTCGAGACCAGCCTGGCCAACACGGCAAAACCTCATCTCTACTAAAAATACAAACCTTAGCCAGGCGTGGTGGTGTGCGCCTGTAATCCCAGCTACTTGGGAGGCTGAGGCAGGAGAATCACTTGAACCCAGGGGGTAGAGGTTGCAGTGAGCCGAGACCGCGCCACTGCACTCCAGCCTGGGCGACAGAGCAAGACTCTGTCTCAAAAAAAAAAAAAAAAAAAAAAGGATTATCTGGCCATTTCTAAACCCCTCATTCTACCGGACAGGACATAAAAGCCAAGAGGGGGGACGTGACTTGCTCAAGGTCACCATAGTGTGGTGTGGGAGAACACTGCCTTGGATTTTTTTTTTTTTTTTTTTTTTTTGCCTCCCCTGTTCCTCTCTCTAATCTGAAAGAGAATAATAAAAAAATAAATAAAATAGATCGTTTTCTATTAAGAGGGAAAATGTCAGGTGCAAGAAAGCAAATATCAGGCTAAGTGTTACCCATTAGAGTAACCACTTCACCGACTGGCAAGCGAGGGAGGGGAGACCAAGGGCTCTGAGCAGCCCCCAAAGCTCCTTGTCCCTCAGGGTGGCTATGTGGGGAGCGGCCTACCTCTGAGATCTTCTGGAACTGGTTGTTGGACTGGCTGCACTTCTCAGCTGTCTCCAGAGCGACTTTATAGTTATCGACAAACGCTTTGTACACACCGAGCTGGCTGGCCTGCAGGGAGGAGTCAGGGAACAGAGGGAGAGGAGGGTGGGAGGGGAGAGGATTAATGAATGGATGAAAGCTTCACGGAGCACCGGGAGCTCCCCTGCACTGAAAACCTCTCACTCAGCTCGTTGGGAACTTGGGGAAACGCAGGGATGAACATATTACAGTGTCCCTTTGAACTGGACAGTTTCCATGGAAACCAGCTCAGCCAATAAGGTTAATGAGGGGGTCTGGGGTTGGGGAGACCAGGCTAGGGCCTTTGTTGGCCTGCTAGAAATTCAACTCTTCACAGCATCCAGCTTTCCTCAGCACGGTGAAGGTCTCCCAGGGTTTGAAATCCCTTAATGTCTCATACTTCCTTCACATCCTGGAATTAGCCGGAGCAGGGAGAGAGGGGGGTGTGTGTGCTGGGGGGAGCTGGCACGTGTGGCCTGCTCAGGCCTCCCTCCCCACGTGCAGCGTGGGGAACGACATTTAAAGGTGCTGTCTTGGCCGGGCGTGGCGGCTCACGCCTGTAACCCCAGCACTTTGGGAGGCCTGAGGTCAGGAGTTCCAGACCAGCCTGGCCAACATGGCGAAACCCCGTCTCTACTAAAAATACAAAAATTAGCTGGGCATGGTGGCGCGTGCCTGTAATCCCAGGTACTCAGGAGAATGAGGCAGGAGAATCGCTTGAACCCAAGAGGTGGAGGCTGCAGTGAACCAAGATCGTGTCACTGCACTCCAGCCTGGGTGACAGAGTAAGACTCCGTCTCAAAAAGAAAACAAAACAACAAATGAAGATGCTGTCTTTCCATTTCCCTTGGCCTTGAGGCCCCGTCCTCACCTCTTCCACCTCCTCTACCTCCAAGGAGCCAAAGCCCCAGCCTCACTACACGTTTGCCTGTCACTCACACAGTCACAACCTGAGTCACAACCACACAGAGCCTCGCCTCTTCTGAGAGGCAGGGCAGACCCCATCGCCCCTTTCTGCAAAAGGGGAAACCGAGGCTCCATAAGTCAATTCCCCAAATATTTATGGAAAGGCTTCGCTGCGCTGTATATAAGCACTTCCTCTTAAGGGACCAAAGGGTAGAAATTCAAATTAAAGCCATCACGAGATATTTTATACTCATCAGAAGGGTCAAAATTTAAAAGTCTAATTGACAGCAACGGCTGGCAAGCATATGGGGAAATTTAAACTCCCTGTTTTTGTTTTTGTTTTGAGATGGAGTTTCGCTCTTGTTGCCCAGGCTGCAGTACAGTGGTGCGATCTCGGCTCACCGCAACCTCCCGGATTCAAGGGATTCTCCTGCCTCAGCCTCCCGAGTAGCTGGCGTTACAGGCGCCCGCCACCACGCCTGGCTAATCTTGTATTTTTAGTAGAGACGGCGTTTCTCCATATTGGTCAGGCTGGTCTCAAACTCCCAACCTCAGGTGATCCACCTGCCTCGGCCTCCCAAAGTGCTGGGATTACAGGTGTGAGCCACTGCGCCCGGCCAATTAAAACTTTTTTTTTTTTTTTTTTTTGAGATGGAGTCTCGCTCTGTCACCCAGGCTGGAATGCAGTGATGCCATCTCGGCTCACTACAAGCTCCACCTCCCAGGTTCGCGCCATTCTCCTGCCTCAGCCTCCTGAGTGGTTGGGACTACAGGCGCCCGCCACCACGCCAGGCTAATTTTTTGTATTTTTTTTTAGTAGAGACGGGGTTTCACCATGTTAGCCAGGATGGTGTCGATCTCCTGACCTCGTGATCCACCCGCCTCGGCCTCCCAAAGTGCTGGGATTACAGGCGTGAGCCACCGCGCCCGGCCAATTTAAACTCTTAGACTACTCGGGGAAGTGTAAATTAGTACAATTATTTGGAGAGCAATTTGTTAATAACTAATAAAGCTGAGAATAGGCATGGCCTATTTTCAGTTGAACTAATAACAGTGTGGATAGGCACAGCCCATCGATTGCTTAGCAAATCCACTTTTACATACAAACTGCAGAGCCGTATCGTTCAGTGCAGTCGCCACCAGCTACCTGAGGCTACCAAGCACCTGAGATACGGCCGGTTCAAACTGAGACGTGCCGGACATGTAAAATACACAGTGGGTTCCAAAGCCTTAGTATGTAAAAGAGAATGTAAATTACCTCGTTAATTTTTAAATACTGATTACATGTTCAAATAATATTTGGATCTGCGGGAATAAATAAAAGATATTCTCAAAATTAATTTCACCTGCCTATTTTTACTTTTAAAAATGTGGGTATTAGGGGCCAGGCGCGGTGGCTCACAACTGTAATCCCAGCACTTTGGGAGGCCGAGGCGGGCAGATCACCTAAGGTTGGCAGTTCGAGACCAGCCTGGCCAAAATGGTGAAACCCTGTCTCCACTAAAGATACAAAATTATCCGGGCGTGGTGGCACGCATCTGTAGTCCCAGCTACTTGGGAGGACAAGGCAGGAGAATCGCTTGAACCCAGGAGGTGGAGGTTGCAGTGAGCCCAGATTGCATCACTGCACTCCAGCCTGGGTGACAAGAGCAAGACCCCGTCTCAAAAAAACAAAAAAAAGGTGGGTATTAGAAAATGTGAAATGATGTACGTGGCTCATAAGCTATTTCCATTAGACAGCAGTGCTCTGGAGCAAATGGCCTATGTGTGTGCCCCAGGGGACTCAAGGGTGTTCACCATCTCACTTTTCCTCCTCATAGTGGAGGGACTGGTAACAAATGCTCACAAACGGGGGAAGCCGCGCACACAGCCATGAACATGGATGCACCCGATTTACACATAGCATTGCTGACAAGCTCCAAAACGAACATGGGTTGAACTGTAAAATACGATTGCTGACAAGCTCCAAAACGAACATGGGTTGAACTGTAAAATATGATATATGTGTATACTTATACACTTTTTTTTTTTTTTTTGAGATGGAGTCTCGCTCTGTCAACCAGGCCGGAGTGCACTGGCACGATCTTGGCTCACTGCAAACTCCGCCTCCTGGGTTCAAGTGATTCTCCTGCCTCAGCCTCCTGACTAACTGGGACTACAGGCACGCACCACCACACCCGGCTAGTTTTTGTATTTTTAGTAGAGACAGGGTTTCGTCATATTGGTCAGGCTGGTCTTGAACTCCTGACCTCAGGTGATCCACCCGCCTCCGCCTCCCAAAGTGCTGGGATTACGGGCGTGAGCCACCACGCCTGGCTTAGACACATTTTTAAAGTACATGCAGCTGGGAGCTGTGGTACACACACCTATAGCCCTCGCTACTTGGGAGACTGAGGTGGGAGGATCACTTGAGCCCGAGTTCAAGTCCAGCCTGGACAACATAGCAAGACCTTTTTTTTTTTTTAAAGTACAGGCCAACCCAAAATAGATACAGATATGTAGTAAACACACAAACTGCAGTCTGGAAGGCTATCCACCAAATTCATGCCAGTAGCTGCTTCAAGAGGGAGGAGGGAGGGGAGACTCCACCTTCATGTGTGACGCTGTATTTTCTTCATTAGAAGGTTCTGCTGTTATTCTTTGGAGTTTCTGGTTTAAATGTTTTTCAATACAGCAGCAAGGGGGATACAGCTGCTGCCTGGCTTCCTCAGGGGCCTCTGCTTCCCACCAAGGTGCTGGGGGAAGTGGGCTGCTGTGGACCCCCACCCCGGACCACTCTGCTTTCTGCAGGATCCTCATGCTCCCCAAGGACCCAGAGAGGCTGGGGTGGGGGTAGGGGTGGGGGCAGGCTGGCCGCAGCATCGGCTGAGCCTGGAGCCTCCCAGTACAGAGGCAGAGCCCTTTGAGGAAGCTGGTGGGGCAGGGGAGCGGGGGGCATCTGGAAAAGCCAGAGGGGAGCGCGAGTGGGGACGCCCGGCGTGACGCCAAGGCCAGAGGCATTCAGGTCTCAGCTGCAGAAGGGCAGGACTTTAAAAGGGGGCAGGGCCGGACTTTTAAAAGAGGGCGGGGCCTGAGTTTTAAAGGGGGTGGGGCCTGACCTTAAAAGGGGGCGGGGCCGGACGGGAGGGAGTTTATTTCCTTTTCCAGGGAGTACTGAGGCCCGGCCCATCAATGCCCACGCTACACGAGGCATACTAGACAGTCGCTGCCTAAGCCAAAGTCAGATCACCGATATTCTTCCAGGAAAAGGCTCCTCTTGCCCCCTTTCCCACAAGAAGGAGAAAGCCTGGAGGCCCGGGTTGGCACACCACCCTCCCAGGAGCCAGGGGCAGGAGCCAGCCGTGCGGAGGCCTGCGTCCAGGGTCACGGTAATCTCAGGGACTGCCGCTGCCACAGTCACCCCAGGCGGTAGGGCCCGAGGCCTGGCTTGGCAGGTTCATTAACTGGGAAGTGCAGGTTGCCTGGAAACAGCAGCCTGGCACTGGAGTGATCTCATAAAACAAACAGCAGAGACGCTAATTCCCTTCTCTCAGTAACGAATAATCAAATACCCAGAGTCTTCGGCTGAAAATAAACCACCTCCGGATGCCAGACCTGACCCGGCTCCCCCCGGGCCCTCCCAAATCTGCAGCCCCAGGGGCCTCAGGCATCGGTTCACGATGCTGGGGAGGGAAAGTGGTGGGTAGCAGATTCACGGCCAGGCCTGTGGAGCCAAGACCAGAACCGGGGACAGCCAGGTCCAAGTGACAAAGATAAACTGTGACAGCGTTTCCAGCAACCCTAGGTTTGCTCTCCTCTACCCTCCTGAGGGATGAGGAGAGGATGCCCCCCAGGCCACTCAGCTCAGGTGAGCAGGCAGTGATGACAGGTGTTCACCATCCCTGAACCGGAGGGAGCAGGGGGGGGTATGCTAGAACCAGAGTGTGGCATTCCCTTGGAAGGATACCTTCCAGGGTGCCTCTTCCCAATTTAATAATAATAATAATAATAATAATAATAATAATAATAATAATGGCACTGATGATAATGACCAGTTATTGAGTACTTATTAATTTATGATGTTCCAGGCCCTGTTCCAAGCACTTTTTCTTTTACTTTATTGTATTCTATTTCTTTTTTTGAGACAGAGTCTTGCTCTTGTCGCCCAGGCTGGAGTGGAGTGGCACGATCTCGGCTCACTACAACCTCTGCCTCCCGAGTTCAAGCGATTCTCCCACCTCAGCCTCCCGAGTAGTAGCTGGGATCACAGGTGCGTGTTATCATGCCCGGCTAATTTTTGTATTTTTAGTAGAAACGGGGTTTCACCATGTTGGCCAAGCTGGTCTTGAACTCCTGACCTCAGGTGATCCGCCCACCTTGGCCTCCCAAAGTGTTGCTGGGATTATAAGCGTGAGCCACTGTGCCCAGCCATTTTTTTTTTTTTTTTTTTTTGAGACAGAGTCTCAGTCTGTCATCCAGGCTGGAGTGCAATGGTGTGGTTTTGGCTCACTGCAACCTCTGCCTCCCAGGTTCAAGCGATTCTCCCGCCTCAGCCCCCTGAGTAGCTGGGACTACAGGTGCATTCCACCACACCCTGCTAATTTTTTTGTATTTTTAGTAGAGATGGGGTTCCACCATGTAGGCCAGGCTGGTCTCGAACTCCTGACCTCACGATCCACCCACCCCGGCCTCCCAAAGTGCTGGGATTACAGGCGTGAGCCACCACGCTCAGTCAGGCCTATTCTATTTCTTTGTAGAGATAGGGTCTTGCTATGTTGCCCAGGCTGGTCTTGAACTCTAAGCCTCAAGTGATCTTCCAGCCTCAGCCTCCCAAAGTGCTGGGATTACAGGCGTCAGCCACCACACTCAGCCCCATGCAGTTTTCAGATATTAACTCCTCAAAATCACCCAATGAGGTAAATACTGTTACTATCCTGTTTTTTACAGATGAGGAAGCTGATTCAGAGCGGTTGGGTAAGTTGCCCAGTTGCAGGTTTAATCTGGCAGCGCTGGGATTCAAGCCCACTTTGTGACACGGCTCTAGAAGCTGTGCTGGAGAAACAGGACTCTCAGGACAGAAATCTCAGGCCCTGCAACGTCTCCCTCCATGCCCTTCCGAGTTCTCCCGAGGCCCAGTGGTCAAGGTCACGGTGCATTCACTCATTCAAGCAGTGACCACTGGGCTGGTTCTGGGAGTCTAAGAAGAAGGAAATGCAGGCCGGGCGCGGTGGCTCACGCCTGTAATCCCAGCACTTCGGGAGGCCGAGGCGGGCGGATCACCTGAGGTCAGGAGTTCGAGACCAGCCTGGCCGACATGGCGAAACCCCGTCTCTACTAAAAATACAAAAATTAGCCGGGTGTGATGGTGGGCGCCTGTAATCCCAGCTACTCGGGATGCTGAGGCAGGAGAATCACTTGAACCCGCGAGGAGGAGGTTGCAGTGAGCCGAGATCACGCCACTGCACTCCAGCCTGGGCGACAGGAGTGAGACTCCGTCTCAACAAAAAAAGGAAATGCAGTCCGTCCTCCTGGAACTTGTGGTTTGGGGGAGTCAGGCAGTTACTAGTGCTCACTACGAGGACTGGCACAAGGCCTGCATTTGGCGACTTGGAAAGCCTTCTTGGAGGAGGTCCCTTCTAAGCTGGGAACTGACCAGGGGAGGCCAGACGAGAGGGGGAAGGACGTTTCAGGCACACGGGGCCTCAAGTACCAAGAGTTAAGAAAGTGCCTGCCCTGGGAACTGAGAACAGAAAGTCCAGTGTCAGGAGCACAGAGGTGCGGGGAGGAAGCTGCCAAGGCTGGGGCTGGACACGGGTCAGTGTGCAAAGGGTCTCTCGAGCCATTCCTCGGAGCCTGACCTTCATCCGAGGGCCGTGGGGATCCGCTGAAGGGGCCGTCGAGGTTTCAGTGACTCTCTCCCCTCTAAGGAGAGGTGGGGGTGGGAGGTGAGTGGGCCTGGAGGCAGGAGCCACACAGGAGGATACGCAGCTGTCCAGGTGAGGGCCATGGGTGGCCAAGAAGAGGAAAAGGCGGCTGTGAGCAACGGCCAAAAAGTGGAGTCCACAGGACAGGTGGGGGAGGGGGTGCAGCCAGAAAGAGTCTGAAGCACTCGGTGAGGTAAAGACAGGAAGCGGAGCAGGTGACGCCGGAGGCAGGGAGCTCAGCTCTGAACACACTCAGCTAGAGGTCCTAGGAGTGTCCAGGCAGGAGAGGGAGAGTCTTCTCCAGCGTGAGAAAGGCAGAGCCCTGTCCATTCAGCCAGAACACGGCAGGGGAGGGGAGGAGGCCTCCAGCCTCTCACACCCAGAGAACAGGGCAGGAAGGAGGAGAAGGTCCTCTGGCCACTCACACCCAGAGAAGAACCGCGGCCTGGACTCCCAGTCTCCCTCTTGCCTGCTGGGCGGTCAGACGTTACGTAGCAGAGGTGGGGAGGGAGCTCCATGAGTCTGACCTGGGGGTCCTCCAGGGGACACAGCCAGAGATGGGGCAGAGCTGGGGGAGAGGGTGTCACAGAAGCACAGGGAACCAGAAGACTTCTGTGAACGTTTCCCAACACGAGGTCTGCATGTTAACCCACCCACTCCTGCCGCTCCCGACCCTGCAGTGGTGAGCAGGGCTGGGCTTCAGTGCTTCCTGCTCTTGGGACCTCAGGAGAGGATCATCGGCCAGTGTGCCCAACTGCTTCCTTTTACAGACCCGAGGTCTCAGGGGAGCAGTCCTCATGCCCCTAACCCGGCATGTGCCCCTCTGTTCACTGAGGGACAGGAGACTGAAGCCCAGCAAGAAGCCTTCATTCCAGGGCTGGTTCCTCAGAGCACCCTCCGGGAGAGAGAGGGAGCACCGTCCGGGAAAGACGGAGCACCCTCCGGGAGGGAGAAGGAGCACCCTCCGGGAGAGAGATGGTGCTCCCACAGAAGTGCCCATCCACACAGCCCATCTCCACCACCCCTGGAAGGACCTATCCACACAGCCTGTCTCCACCACCCCAGAAGCTCCCAGGGCTGCACCAGGGGAGGCCTAGAGTCAAGGCCCCGGCCCCAGGCACCCCATAACACACAGGCCCAGGCCTTCCTCCCGGACTCGGAGAGGTCTCAGGCCTTCAAGGAGTCCGAGAGGGCTGCCCGGTCCTCTCCTGAGGCTCCTGCAACACTATGGGCTCCACTGAGGCCCTGCGTGAGGACCCTCCATCCCTGGCAGACTCACCAGCTTCTGGAAGAGGTGGCCCATGGTGACCTGGCTGTCCCACTGTTGCACCTTGGGGCACAGGTTGTCATAGAACTCCTTGTGGATCTCATAGATGTCCTGGATCTTGTAGAAGATGGTCTCGATCTGCTGGATGGTGAGCACGGGCTGGGAGGTGGTGGCGGTGGCCTTCAGGGGTTTCATGGGCTGGGAGAAACAGAGGAAGAAAGAGCAGAGGTCGGGGGTAAACAAACCAGAGTGTCGGCAGGCCCCGGGGCCGATCGTTAGCCCTTCCCGCTGCCCAAGTCCTGCCCAGACAAGGCTGCCAAAGGCAGGGCACTGAAACGAGCTTTGTATCAAGGAGCCACTGCCACAGGCCCCAACAAGCCGCACACTCGACAGCAGGAACCTGGCCTGGCAGCTGTGCCAGGCCCGAGGGGTGGTGCCTGGGCTCACTCCCCTACCACGCAGCTGAGCTCAGCAGCAGCCTGTACTGGGTTAACAGGATCCGCGTCTTTCTTCCACGATAGCCTGTGCCCCGAGTCATAAGCTCCTTGTCACACTTCAGTGGAAGGGAGGGTTGACAGGGAACTCAAGCCTATAGCTGTTTCCTTCCAAGAAACAGAATGTGGTTCTAGGACTCAGAAGGTAGGGACCCGAAGTTACTCAAGACCAGTCTTGGCCTCACTGATGTTCCAAGTTCCCGTCACTTGGCACAGGGAGAGGCATGGGCGTTCACGTGTCCCCCACTGCAGCCCACCCCCGTGGCAGACATTGCTAAGCGACCGTGATGGTCCTTCCCACTGCGCATGGCAGGGGTCTCCAGTCTCAGACTCTTTCTCAATGCCTGCCTGTCTATACCAAGATGCTCCAGGGCCTGCCAGTGTAGACGGTGAGGTGGCAGATAACACAGACCAACCCCCAGCACTGGCCGGGAGCTGATGCCATCACCTTCCAGCCTAGCAGTGGGACCGTGGGATAACGGGACGTGCAGGCATTTCCTCAGTGTGGTTCTCTGCATTTTATAAATCACCTACAATGAATGAATATGAATAATCAGAAAAAAAAAAACCAAAGATGACCAGGCTGTACTGCAAAGGCCCTGCAGGACACAGGGCCTGATAACCTGCCATACAGGGAAGGTGTGGCAGGGAAGGGCAGGGTGGCCAGAGGGAGAGCAGCCACGTCGAATTCTTTTTTTTTTGGAGACGGAGTCTCGCTCTGTCGCCCAGGCTGGAGTGCAGTGGTGCGATCTCGGCTCCGCCTCCCGGGTTCACGCCATTCTCCTGCCTCAGCCTCCCAAGTAACAGGGACTACAGGCGCCCGCCACCACGCCTGGCTAATTTTTTTTGTATTTTTAGTAGAGACGGGGTTTCACTGTGTTAGCCAGGATGGTCTTGATCTCCTGACCTCGTGATCCACCCACCTCGGCCTCCCAAAGTGCTGGGATTACGGGCGTGAGCCACCGCGCCCGGCCAGCCATGTCGGATTCTGTTGATGTTCTTCACCTACCTGAAGGCCACGTGGAAAGAGGCTTAGACTTGGCTGGTCACGGTGGCTCACACCTGTCATCCTAGCACTTTGGGAGGCCGAGGCAGGTAGATCACCTGAGGCCAGGAGTTCGAGACAAGTCTGACCAACATGGTGAAACCCCGTCTCTACTAAAACTACAAAAATTAGCTGGGCGTGGTGGTGCACACCTGTAATCCCAGCTACTCAGGAGGCTGAGGCAGGAGAATCTCTTGAACTCAGGAGGCAGAGGTTGCAGTGAGCCAAGATTGCGCCACTGCACTCCAGCCTGGGTGACAGAGCCAGACTCTGTCTCCAAAAACAAAAACGAGGCTTAGACTTAATCTACGTTGCTCTGCAGACCCAGGAACAGTGGGGAAAAGTTATGGGGTCAGATTCGGGCTCACTAGAGCTGTCCCCCATAGGATTAAGTAGTGAGCTTTCCGACAAGAGAAGCATTCTAGCAGAGAATGGGTGACTCCACTGCTGAAAATGCTGCACTGAAGGGAACACCAAAGCCAGCGCCAGCTCCCTCTGAACGACGACCACCAGCTCCAGCCAACCACGGCAAACTCCCAGCCCAGCCTCACTCCAGCCTCACATCACCTCATTCTGATGAAGTCTCATCTACTCAGATATATCGCCTCACTCTGATGGAGACAGAACCCATGTTCACTGGAAGAAGTCGTCTCATCTACTCAGACACCCAGATGGTGCTCTGCCTTCTGGCTCCTTCATCCTCCGAGCTCTAAAAAGCCCAGATCCAACAATCCATGCAGGACAAAGCAGGACCCTCCTTCTGACCCTCGCCGCGCTAGAAACAACGGCCCCTCAGTGTCCAGTCAGGACTCTCCTTCTGACCCTCGCTGTGCTAGAATCAATGGCCCCTCGGTGTCCGGTCAGGCCCCTCCTTCTGACCCTCACCGTCCTAGAACCAACGGCCCCTCTGCGTCCGGTCAGGCCTCTCCTTCTGACCCTCGCCGTCCTAGAACCAACGGCCCCTCGGTGTCTGGTCCTTGCTAGGCAAGCGCATGGGGTTCCACCTGGTGCAGGCCAGGCAGGGTGGGCTTGAGTCGCAGCTCTGCTGTGCGCACATCACTCAGCATCCCTGGGCTTCGTGTCACCAGCAGCCTCATGTGTGAAACTGGGATAATACAGCCATGCGCTACCTACTGGCATTCCCGTCAGTGCGTACACGATCATGGTCCCAGACTGCAATTTTTTTTTTTTTTTTTTGAGACAGAGTCTCACTCTGTCACCCAGGCTGGAGTGCAATAGTGCAATCTCGGCTCACTGCAACCTCCGCCTCCCAGGTTCAAGCGATTCTCCTGCCTCAGCCTCCTGAGTAGCTGGAATTACAGGTGTCCACCACCCCGCCCAGCTAGTTTTTGTAGTTTTTGTAGATATGGGGTTTCACCATATTGGTCAGGCTGGTCTCAAACTCCTGACTTCAAGTGATCCACGTGCCTCGGCCTCTTGAAGTGCTGGGATGACAGGTGTTGAGCCACCATGCCTGGCTGAGACCTTTATAATCCAGTTGGGCAAAATGGGCCAACACAGATGAAATGACTATGGACGATGCGACTGACTGTAAGCACCAACCACATGGTTCCAAGGTTGTGCTGGAGTAGCCTGGAGGGCTGCATGGAGGAGGCACACATACCAGGTCCTTGGAGAGCTGAGCAGGTGGAGGAGTGGGGGCGTAGAGAGGCATGCCAGACAGGGAAACAGAAGGCACCGGGAGGCAGGAGCAAGGGAAGAGTGTCCCCCCAAGCCCAGGTGGGTGAGCTGAAAGCTTTGGGGACTCCCCACCCTCCATGAGGGACATGGAACTAGCTTCAGGATTGACATCGTCGTAAGAGTTTATCCTTTTCACCTCAACGCAGGACCCCACGGAGGAGCCCGCAGAGTCGCCACAGAATCCCCATACCCAAGAATTCTTGTCCCCGCCTTGGCGCAGTCCCCACTGAGGGGGAAATAAGGGAAGCAGGAAGGTCAGCAGTCCCAGGAAGGCCAAGGAGACGGGATTTCTCAGAAGCCGCGACGCGCTCATCTGCCACCCACACGAAGACAAAACACAATGGTTATGCTTCCTCCTCAACTTCCCACCCCGTCTGCAAAAGGGGAAGAAATGGACGCTCACCCACAGCCAGTCACAAGGACGGGGCCTGCGCTTGGGGCATCAGATGGTTCTCATGACACGATGGGGACCTTGGCTGTTACTCCTGATTTCACTCGCGGGGAGGGGACAGGGCTGGGTGTGTGCCCTTGGCTGGCCAGGACCCTCGAGGCCGTTATTTGTCTCTGGTGAAGTCCTGCGTATGGGCTCAGGGGCAGGAGGGTGGACTGAAAGGCAAGGTGACCCACACTGAGCTTCGGCACGGCACAGCCATTCTGCCAAAGCGCTAGCACACCACTCAGGCACCCCCTCCTCCCCAGTCCTGCTGCAGGGACAAGGGCAGGCCCCGGCTCTCCATTTCACCACTCGAGTTCTCGGAGAGGACCCGTGAGTGACTTCAACCCTGGCTCCCATACCAGCTGCTTCTCAGGAAGACGGGCCTGGGCCGGTTCTCACTTGCCAGTGGGACTTCACATAGCCGTTTGTCAGCTCTGTCCCCCAGCGACCGGCCTTTCGAAATAAGGGAAAGAAATGTACCCACTTCCTCCACCTCCTGCCCCAGAAGGCCTGGCATGCTTGCTGCCATGCCACCCGAGTCACTCGTCACTGGAGCCCAGGGAGGAAGGCCTCATTCACCTGTTTTATAGATAAAGAGCCTGCGATGCAGCGTGGCCAGGAGTCCACCCCAGGAGGGCCAGTCGTGGCCAGCGGTGGGAGGGGCTCTGGGGAGTGGCCTCACCCTGTGGCCCCAGCGTAGCAAGACACAGTTCCCAAGCTCAGTTCCCAGTGTCAAGGAGATCCAGAATTTCAATGCAGTTGGCTTCATCTTTTTTCCTTCACCCCCTACTTCGGCCCAGGCTCCCAGGCTTTTCCTGTAATCAGAGCCCACCAGGAAGCAGGAGGGCCCCAGAAGATGACCCCCACAAGCACCCCAGAGGCCAGGACGGAGGCTTCTGTGTGGAGGCTCGTCTGCCCCGTGTGTGCACATGGTTTTAGGTACACACACCCAGCCCTTTGCATATCAGGAAGTGTTCAGATGAAAGCAAACAGGCTGGGGCAGAGCGGTGGGAATGGGGTCAGGAGTGGGAAAGCGAGCATGGAGGGAACGAATTTCTTCTCCTTCAAGCTGGCACCTTTGCGAGGCCACCCCGAAGAGCAGAAGGTTTAGCTTCCTCCTAGCTGAGGGGTGGGGAGGGTGCAGGGGTTCCCAGCTCAGGGAGGAGAGGAGGAAGGGTGTGATTCTTTCACTCTGAGGTTTTCTTCTGAGGCTGTGGCTGTGGAGGGTCCTACTCCTCTTCCTGAGCCCTCCTACCACAGACCTGGCCTCCCAGCGAGTTCTTCCTTTGCTCCCTCTGGTCTCTGCTCAAGAAAGAGCCAAGCAGGGGCCCAGGAGGAGAGAGCTGGGGGAAGGTGGGGAACCCGCCCCGGGAGGAGAGAGCTGGGGAAGGGGGGGAACCTGCCCCGGGAGGAGAGAGCTGGGGAAGGGGGGAACCTGCCCCGGGTGGAGAGAGCTGGGGGAAGTGGGGGAACCTGCCCCGGGAGGAGAGAGCTGGGGAAGGGGGGAAACCTGCCCCAGGAGAGAGCTGGGGAATGGGGGAACCTGCCCCAGGAGGAGACAGCTGGGGAAGGGGGGAAACCTGCCCCGGGAGAGAGCTGGGGAAGGGGGGAACCTGCCCGGGGAGGAGAGAGCCGGGGAAGGGGGGAACCTGCCCCGGGAGGAGACAGCTGGGGAAGGGGGGAACCTGCGCCAGGCATATCAGGAAGGGGGCCCCTGCCCCACAGATTCTGCCTTTGGGGCATGAGCTGTTAGAAAGGCAGAGCAGGGAGGGGCTCTTGGTCTTGGCCCAGAGGAAGAGGCTCGTGGGTGGCAGGTGGGATCTAAGGGCTCCGTGTCTGATGGGGACAGGCGCCACTCCCTCCTTCAGGGAACGGGTGTGTTGTGGCAGAAACCACGAAGCCCTAACCTGTCTCCTCTCCCAGCAATAGAGAAATTAACAGTGTCAACGAACACTCAGGCTGTGTTCTAAGAGCTTTATGTGCCGGACACAGTGGCTCACATCTGTAATCCCAGCACTTTGGGAGGCCGAGGCGGGCGGATCACTTGAGGTCAGGAGTTCAAGACCAGCCTGGCCAACATGGTGAAATCTCATCTCTACTAAAAATACAAAAATTAGCTGGGCGTGGTGGTGGGTGCCTGTAATCTCAGCTACTTGGGAAGCTGACACAGGAGAATGGCTTGAACCCAGGAGGCGGAGGTTATAATGAGCCGAGATTGTGCCACTGCACTCCAGCCTGGGCAACAGAGCAAGACTCCGTCTCAAAAAAAAAAAAAAAAAAAGAACTCTGTGTATAAATTCCTTTAATCCTCACAACGACCCCATGAAAAGCATACTATTTGTATACCCAGTTTGCAGATGGAAAAACTGAGGCACGATAGCTCATTCACCTGCTGAAAGCCTGGAGCCAGTACGGCCAGGCAGTCTAGATCCTCTGTCTGAACTCCTTTCAAATACACACCCTGTTAGTAATGACAACTATGTTCCTTTTTGGACAGCAATTCACGGTTTGGAAGACGTGTTTCACGAATGTCTGACGGGTTGTCTCTTTGCCTGTCCTCCTTTCTTCCACTAACAGTTGAGTGTCTTAAGTAACTCAACGCTGTATGAGGTCCCGAAAGCATCTCCCGATCTTCTCAACCCCATGGAAAGAGAGAGAAAGAATGGCATCCCTCTCATCTTCAGATCCAGAAATGGAGGCTCAAGGAATTTATGTAGGGCTTGCCCAAAGCCAGCAGTTTTCTTTTCTTTTTTTTTTTTTTTGTGATGGAGTCTCACTGTGTCGCCCAGGCTGGAGTGCAGTGGCGCAATCTCTGCTCACTGCAAGCTCCGCCTCCCAGGTTGACGCCATTCTCCTGCCTCAGCCTCCCGAGTGGCTGGGACTACAGGTGCTCGCCACCACGCCCGGCTAATTTTTTTTGTACTTTTTTAGTAGAGACGGGGTTTCACCGTGTTGGCCAAGGATGGTCTGGATCTCCTGACCTTGTGATCCGCCCACCTCAGCCTCCCAAAGTGCTGGGATTACAGGCTTGAGACACGGCGCCCGGCCAAAGCCAGCAGTTTTCAAACCCACAACAGGTGTAAGACACCATGGGCCCGGCAATTACATATATATACAGGCACACAGACAGACAACAAACCGAAAGTTCCCTCACTTATCTTTCCCGTGTATGATGCATGCTGACATTTTTTCATTGGTTTAAAAATGCTGGTTCAACCCACTGTACTGGTTTCACAACCCACTGTACTGATTTCACAACCCAAAGCACTGATGGGCTGAGAGGCACAGTTTGAGAAACAGTGCAATACGCCTGCTCTTAATGGCAGGGCCAAGTCTTGCCCTAGCTCTGGCCCCAGACCAGGACCCTCAGCTACCTGCCACACTGCCCCTCACTTGGAAAACAGCTCCGTACACACAGATAAACTCCTGGAGAGATGGGACGTACTCAGCCTGGCGTGTGGCAAAACAGCTGCACATTCAGAGTTTCACTCTTGTTGCCCCGGCTGGAGTGCAATGGTGCAAACTCGGCTCACTGCAACCTCCACCTCCCGGGTTCAAGCGATTCTCCTGCCTCAGCCTCCTGAGTAGCTGGGATTACAGGGGCCCGCCACCACGCCCAGCTAATTTTTTGTATTTTTAGTAGAGATGGGGCTTCACCATGTTGGCCAGGCTGGTCTCGAACTCCTGACCTCAGGTGATCCACCCACCTCGGCCTCCCAAAGTGCTGGGATTACAGGTGTCAGCCACTGCACCCAGCCTTTTTTTTTGAGGAATTTCACTTCCGTCGTCCAGTCTGGAGTACAGTGGCGCACTCTCAGCTCACTACGACCTTCGCCCCCAGATTCAAGCAATTCTCATGCCTCAGCCTCCTGAGTAACTGGGATTACAGGTATGCACCACCACGCCTGGCTTTTTTTTGCATTTCTAGCAGAGACAAGGTTTCACCACATTGGCCAGGCTGGTCTCGAACTCCTGTCCTCAAGTGATCTGCCCACCTGGGGCTCCCAAAGTGCTGGGATTACAGGCACTGAGCCACGGCGCCCGGCCTGCACCTGCACATTTACACAGTCATTCCTGGGTAACATAAATGTCAAGTCCCCTGGGACACTGACAGCATCTCAGGGTTGACGTGTGACAACACCTCACGTCATGGCAAGTACTTAAATGTGCATCTTAGAATTCTTGTTAAGAATGAGCTTCCACAGATCCACACTTCTGCGTCTCCCTTTTCTGACAATTACCTTATGTCTCAGGCTGCAAAATACCCAAAAGAAAGATTGACACGCCACGATCACTCTGCATAACATCCAGACACATCTAAGGAGCACTTTCTTCCAAGGCAAAACCACCTCACATCTGTGTAGTACTTTTATCTTCCGAAAACATTTTCATATTCCCCTCCCAATCAGACTCTCACAACGATGCCTCCATCTGGGAGGGGAACTGAGGCATGTTACCGAGGGCTGAGCTTGGCCTGATGCCTCAGAGCTGTGCCGCTTCTCAAAAGAACACAGACAGGCCGGGCGCAGTGGCTCATGCCTGTAATCCCAGCACTTTGGGAGGCCAAGGCGGGCAGATCACCTGAGGTCAGGAGTTGGAAACCAGCCTGGCCAACATGATAAAATCCTGTCTCTACTAAATACAAAAATTAGCCAGGACTGGTGGCGTGCACGTGCAATTCCAGCCACTCGGGAGGCTGAGGCAGGAGAATCACTTGAACCCGGGAGGCAGAGGTTGCAGTGAGCCGAGATCGCACCACTGCACTCCAGCCTGGGTGACAAGAGCAAAGCTCCGTCTTAAAAAAAAAAAAAAAAAAAAAAAGAACACAGCCTCCCACCTCATATTTCCTGACACGGGGCCTCAGGATGGCACTAACGGTTCCCTCACCCAGGGAGGTAGAAGGACTTGGACACAAGACGGCAGAGACTTCTTAACTGGATTGATTGGGAATGACTGCCCAGAGCACAGCGTGGAGAAGGCGCTCGGCCCCCGCCCAGGCAGGCAGAGCACCATGATGGGTTCACGATGCCCTATGCCAGGGTCGTGGGTGACAGGTGTGTTTGCCATCTCTAAGCCGGGTGTGCTTCTCCTGCCTTTTGAGAGCTGGAGCTGAGAGGCACAGGCCCTTTCTGGCAATGACCCGGGCTGCCCGATGCCCAGCCAGAAGCAGACCAGCTGCAGACTCTGTCCACAGGGAGGGACGGGTACGGTCCCCTTTCCTCTCCAACTCCAAAAGCAGCTTCAGAGCATGACATCACCCAACACGGGCGGGGGGACCGGAAGGCCCCAGAGCAGGGACTGTACTCACCAGCAACAGGGCTTCCAGCTGGTTAATGTAGATCTCTTCGCTGGCCAAGAACCCCGAGAGAACCAGCTTCCTCATCTCCAGGCCTTTCCCTGCTTCCACCTGCACAAACGCAAAGCACAGCCAACAGCTCATGAGCAAGGAGGCCAAAACCCTGCGTGGACGGTCTGCTTCCCTGCCCTTCCCCCCCGACCTTTATTTTTTTTTTGAGACGAAGTCTCGCTCTGTCACCTAGGCTGAAGTAAAGTGGCACAATCTCGGCTCACTGCAACCTCCGCCTCCCGGGTTCCAGTGATTCCCCTGCCTCAGCCTCCCGAGTAGCTGGGATTACAGGCACCTGCCACCATGCCCAGATAATTTTTGTATTTTTAGTAGAGATGGGGTTTCACCATGTTGGCCAGGCTGATATAGAACTCCTGACCTCAGGTGATCCACCCACCTCAGCCTCCCAAAGTGCTGGGATTACAGGTGTGAGCCACCATGCCCAGCCATTATGCCAGACTAATTTTTTTTGTATTTTTAGTAGAGATGGGGTTTCACCATGTTGGCCAGGCTGGTATAGAACTCCTGACCTCAGGTGATCCGTCCGCCTCAGCCTCCCAAAGTGCTGGGATTACAGGCGTGAGCCACCGCGCCCGGCCCCCCTTTCCCCTTTCCTTTTATTTTAAGCGACACTTTCATAGGGGATAAAAGTCAGATATTATTATAAAAAATATACAAAACATGCAGAAATATAAAAGGAAAAGACAATCACCCATATTCCTCCTGTAACATCTCGTTTTGCTTCCCTCAATCTATTTTCCACCTGGGTTCTCGAACCGACTTTTCCTCCCTCTCTTCCTCTCCTCCTGCCTGTCCCACACACCAGAGCTGGATTCAACTCCTAAGAGTGCCACCTTGCCCGATGCTTGCCAAGGACCGAGTATGAATACCGCAAAACGCGAGTACTTGGGGATTCCACTGGGCTATGTGTCCATTTATTTATTCATTCAATAAATATTTACTGAATGTCCACCAGGCCCTATAGATACCATGGGAAACAGACAGTGGCCCCTGTTCTCAAGTGGCTTAGACTCTAGTGGGAAAGACATTTATTTTTTCTTTTTTTTTTTTTTTTAGAGACGGAGTCTCGCTCTGTCGCCCAGGCTAGAGTGCAGTGGCGCGATCTCGGCTCACTGCAAGCTCCGCCTCCCGGGTTCACGCCATTCTCCTGCCTCAGCCTCCCGAGTAGCTGGGACTACAGGCTCCCGCCACCACGCCCAGCTAACTTTTTGTATTTTTAGTAGAGCCGGGATTTCACCGTGTTAGCCAGGATGGTCTCGATCTCCTGACCTCGTGATCCGCCCGCCTTGGCCTCCCAAAGTGCTGGGATTACAGGTGTGAGCCACCGCACCCTGCCGGAAAGACATTTAAAAAACAAGTAAAGATTCGGCCCTAGACTGGGACATGGGGCCCACCATATCCTTTATGAGCCACCTGCAGTGGCCCGGATGCCCGTCCCTACCCTTCCAGTCTTTCCCACAGCCAGGACATCGCTCAGTCTCCCCCACACGCAGGAGAACCAGCCTCCTCATCTTCAAAGGTCTCTAGCTTTCGGTTCGTTCTTTACCTGCTGCCTAAAATGCCATCTTTCCCTGAGGCATCGTGGCCACAGAAGGGGAGTGAGAGGGCCGGGGAGACAGGGTAGTGGTGAGGGACTGCTTGGAAGATGCTACACTGGTAGGTTTGAAGACAGAGGATGGGGCCACGAGCTAAGGAATGCAGAGAGCCTTTGGAAGCTGGAAATGGCAATAAAATGAACTCACTCCCCTAGAGCAGGGGCTTCCGATCTTTTGGCTCCCCTGAGCCACACTGGAAGAAGACGACTGTCTTGGGCCACACATAAAATACAATAACACTAACGACAGCAGATGAACTAAAAGAAAAATATATAATGTTTTAAGAGTTTACAAATTTGTGTCGGGCCACATTCAAAGCAGTCCTGGGCCGTATGGCCGCAGGCTGGAAAAGCTTGCCCTAGAGCTTCCAGAAGCAATGCAGCCCTGGAGATCCTTTTTATTTTAATTAATCTATTTATTTATGTATTTACTTATTGAGACAAAGTCTCCCTCTGTCGCCCAGGGCTGGAGTGCAATGGCATGATCTCAGCTCACTGCAACCTCTGCCTCCCAGGTTCAAGCGATTCTCCTGCCTCAGCCTCCCGAGTACCTGGGATTACAGGCGTCCACCATCACACCCACTAATTTTTGTATTTTTAGTAGAGATGGGGTTTCACCATGTTGGCCAGGCTCGTCTCAAACTCCTGACCTCAGGTGATGCGCCCGCCTCGGCCTCCCAAAGTGCTGGGATTACAGGTGTGAGCCATGGAGCCGGGCCGAGATCCTTTTTAGATTTCTGTATAAGAGAATAAATTTGTGTGGTTTTAAGCCCTTAAGTTTGTGGCGATTTGTTTCAGCAGCATTAGAAAAGCAAGACAGACCCCACGCTTCAGGCAAGGGCAATAGTTACTTATTGGCGGCTTCACAAATTCCAGGAACTGAGCTTAGCTATCTTTGTGGTTCAATTCACCGGAGTCTCAAAACCTGGCAGGTGTTATCATCTTCCTGAGGCACCGAGAGTCGGGACTGCCAGAGGCCTGCACAGCCTCCAGCACACGTAGCCCCGGGGGACAAGATCAGAGCCTGGAACAGCCCCCAGCTCCAGCCCCTCCAGGTCAGACCCTCAGGGGTCTTCCTGCTGCTTCCCAGCCTTGACAAATGGGAACTCATCCCCTGTGCTGGGGGCTAGCACTCCCTCCTGTTCCCTGCCAACCAAGGTTTTGCCTGAGGGTTTAGCAAATGCCACACCGTGAGCTGTAACTGTAGAGCTGGTTGGACTAGGATGGGGGGAAGAAAGGGATTTGCAGCCCCAGCCACAAACAAGCTTCATCCCCCCTGGCACGAGCATAGACCCTGGAAGCCCTGTAATCGCCCATTTCTGCAAGATCCTCCCCTCAAGACTTCCATTCATAGTCCACTCTTGAAAGGCTGGTTCTGATGGGAAGACAACTCAGGAAGACCCTCCCTCAAGAGGCAACAGTCAGCCCCAAGAGTCCTGCTCTGGGCCCCGTTCACGCTGCAGTTTTGGCTGAGATTGGAGCAAAGGCGTTGGAGAGCGTACGGATGGGAAATTAGCCTCGGTGCACTTGGCTAACAGGAGACCCGTTGCTCAGTCACCACCAAAGGAAGGCCTGTTCCATCTCCCATCTTTTCCAGCTTTCCTCAGACTCCACAATTCCCAGTTTAGAGCCATGAGGAAATTCACATTGTTTCTTCAGTCTTTGCAGGGCGTCTCTTGTCTCATCAAAAACCAGGCTCACCACTCACTCACCCATTCCCACCGGGAGCCAGGCACTGGGAATACGAAGGTGAAGGAGAGGTGCCCACGTGCCTAGAATGCTCCGGAGCGAGTTCTCTAAAGAGTTCCAGGTCCCACAGCCTCTGCCACGCTGCCTACCTGTCTCCAGCACCGGGAAGCTGCCTGTCCTCACTTCCTCCCAGCCAGAACTTGTGAAATGCAGTCCTGGTGGGTTCGTTTATCCTCAGCATCCTGCACAATCTGCTAGGCTGACAGTGTGGCAGCTTGAAGCCGCCAAACCAAAGACGTCAGGTCACTCTGGTAGGAACAATGTCTAGAGATAAGGCGTGGCCAGCTCAGGCCTGGTCCTCCACAGAGTTGAGAGGCTAAATAAAGCCTCCAAACATCTGGTTCCAGGCCAAGCAAAGACACAATCTCTCCAGTAGCACTGGCCTCCAAGACAACAAGCAGGGCTGGCTCTCTGGCTGCGACTCAAGGCTATAGGGCATGCAGCGAGGGTCTGAGGCTTCACAGACGGTAGAAGTCAGTTCACGGGCCACAGCTGGCTGCCAGGAGTACCCAGCAGGATCTGCTCAGAGTAGATGCCACTGGGCCTGGGGGTGGGGGTGGCCGTGCCTGGGGCTTATACCCACACCAAGCATCAACCTCAGGACAACTGGCCCATCTCAGTCTCAGGACAGCTGAGGCAGTGTAGAGGCATCGAGAGACCCTCTCCTCTCCCAGCGCTAGGCGCTGAGGAAGTCTCTTTCAGCTGCTTCCTTGGCAGAATTTAGAACAGAGAAGACGGGTCAACTGCTGGGGGACAAAGACCAAATTCCAGTGGCCCCTCTCTCCTGAAGGGTGGATCCCCGTATTCTGGGCTCCCTATTGCTGTCTGAGGTCTTAGGCAGGCACCATAGGGCACAGGCAATGTTTTGAAACTTTGGTTGTTCATATCCCACCCTTAAAATTTTGCCATACTCACATACCACCACCTGCACTATTCTTTACTCAATATTGTTCTTTACAGTAACTTTTTTTTTTTTTTTTTTTTTTTGAGACAGAGTCTCACTGTGTCACCCAGGCTGGAGTGCAGTGGCAGGATCTTGGCTCACTGCAACCTCCATCTCCCGGGTTCAAGTGATTCTCCTGCTTCAGCCTCCTGAGTAGTTGGGATTACAGGTGCACGCCACCACGCCCAGATACTTTTTGTGTTTTTAGTAGAGACAGGGTTTCACCATGTTGGCCAGGCTGGTCTTGAACTCCTGACCTCATGATCCACCGCGCCCAGTCTCCCAAAGTGCTGGGATTACAGGCATGAGCCACTGCGCCCAAGAACTGACTTGTAAAAAGCAGTCTTACCCTACACGTATTTGAAATCGTAAGAAAAATGTACAGGTCATATTTTTTCTAATATATATTAAAATATATACTTAACCATTAAAATGCAAAATATAGATCGAGGTGCCACCGATCATTTCTCAAATCACCACGTGGGGCCCGCACTTAGAAAAACATCCAAATGGGGGATACAGGCATGATGTGCAGGCACAAGAGACCTGGGCAGGTGAAACAGAAATAGAGATGTTTCAGATGATCCATTAAAAACTGGCACAGAATTGGGCTGGGCTCAGTGGCTCACTCCTGTAATCCCAGCACTTTGGGAGGCCAAGAGGGGCAGATTGCTTGAGCCCAGGAGTTACAGACTAGCATGGGCAACATGGTGAAACCCTGTCTCTACAAAAATATAAAAATTAGCCCAACGTGGTGGCATGTGCCTGTAGTGAGGGGGAGGCTGAGGTGGGAGGACTGATTGAGTCTGGGAGGTGGAGGCCACAGAGAGCCATGATTGTGCCATCGCACTCCAGCCTGGGTGACAGAGTGAGACTCTGTCTCAAAAGAAAAAAAAAAATGGCACAGAATGATACCTAAAGGGTTAATCTGCATTACAAAAGGGTTTTTATTCCTGACAAATAAGTTCCTTAAAATAGCACCTTCTACAACGCCCCCGTCACAACCCTACCTATCTTTAAATAGAATGGCATGAAACATTTTTGGCAAGTGTAAGCCATTTTACAAATGCAACATGACGCTGCTATCAGTATTTTATTTGCATTACCAGTTTTACAGATCAATAACTCTTCAAAGGTAAGTCTGGGCTGAGATATGCAGCAAACTCCAGCTATAGCTTTGGAGAAAACTGCAGCCAACTTTACCTCTGCCCCCCAGGAAGATGAAGCGTCTTGGAAATGACACTGGAAACAGGATTGATTTATGGGCCTGGCACTTGGGCACATGCTCACAACGCAACTGCTGCTTAAGGTAAGTACCCCTAAAGTAAAGTAATAGCAAAGAGAATTGCCTTGGATTCCTACTAGCTGCCAGGGAAGGGTGTGCCAAGAACCTCTGCAGCCCAGGACAGGAGTGTATCATCCAGAAATGACCCTTGGCCTGCACACACACACACATGCACGCATCCAGGCCATCCCCAACTCCACTAGAAGTGGTCCCTTCTCCCCTGAATTTGGTGCCCTTTTATCAGTACTCTTCTCACAGTCTTTTTTTTTTTTTTTTTTTTGAGACTGAGTCTCACCCTGTCGCCCAGGCTGGAATGCAGTGGCATGATCTTGGCTCGCTGCAACCTCTGCCTCCCAGGTTCAAGCGATTCTCCTGCCTCAGCCTCCTGAGTAGCTGGGATTACAGACGCCCACCACTACGCCCGGCTAATTTTTGTATTTTTAGTAGAGATGTGGTTTCACTATATTGGTCAGGCTGATCTCGAACTCCTGACCTCAGGTGATCCGCCCACCTCAGCCTCCCAAAGTGCTGGGAATACAGGCGTGTGCCACCGCATCTGGCCCACCCTGCCTACTTCCGTACTCTATTCCTACTCCCTGTACCTGCCCCTTGCTCTGAACGCCTTGTGAGGGAAGATCACGCCTTGTTCCTCTTGTCATCTCTACAGTGCCAGGCAGGGTGCTCTGAAGAGCACCTAACCTGAGAGTGTTTGTTGAATGAATCCAGGAGCTTTCTTCCCACCGCTCTGTGGCCACCTGCTTGTCTTCTCCCTCTGAGGCCAATGCCGGTAGAGGAGGGAGGAATTCTAGAGGTGTTCAGGATGGAGCAGGGAGCCTGGAACTCCCCGGCATTCGAGAAAGGTCTCCTTCCCCCATGCTGGCAGCAAAGTAGAGGGGAAGACACCATCCCGGTGCTCACGGGGACCCAGGAGGAGCAGCGTTTTCAGGTGTGACACGTGCTCAGGCTCTCTTGGCATCCGTGGGCCACCGCCGTACACAGCAGGACACCTCTGAGATGGAGCGAGGCTGGGAACCTGGTGCACCCTTCGTGGGCCCCAGCGGGCCTCACACATTGTGCAGACTCTCACAGGCACCAGCCCCACACCAAGCACTGTGCAGTGTTCAGCAATGAATATGACATGGTCCTGGTCCTCCAGGAGAATGGGATATAATTGCGGAGGCAAATGTCTAGAGTTCTGAGCATCTGAGCAGAATGAAATACGGGCTTAGCTGAGGCATACGCCGGGGTCCAGCAGAAGGGGAGGTCCAGGAGGCAGCCTCTGAGTGGGCCCACATCTGTGCTGGGGGCTTCCCAGAGGAGGCCCATGAGGGCCACACACCTCCCATCCCAGCATTGCTACTCCCAGCCTGACTCCTGGCTCAGGAGCAGACTTTCCCACCCTGTTCCTAGTGGGGAGGCTGGTCAGACCCTAAGTGCAGAGGCCTCCCTGAGCCCACGGGGAGACGTGACTTACCCCCACGGCCCTACGCCAGCACCAGATCAGAGAAGACAGGGTGGGGTGCCAGCCACTGCCAGCCTCCCTACAGCTCCACTCCCCACCCAGGCCTGCAGCCACCGCTCCACCCATACTCACACATCAGCCATCTCCCGTGGTTCTGCATCTATTTTTACCTCCATTGGCTCCTCCTCAGAGCCACACTGTAGAGTGGGTGGGGCAGGACTGTGATCCCCATCTTCTGTGAGGGGCAGGGAGGCCCAGAGAGGTTCAGGGACAGCCTCCCGTCCCCAGCAATGCTGGCTGCACATGCCTTCTAGGCCCCGCCGATGGGCACTCGGTTAGGCAGCCTCGCCTAGCAGTCTGCAAACTCCCCGAAACGCATCCTCACTGGGCCTCCCTTCTCGACACAGAACCAGAGAGCAGCTGAGCAAAAGGCTGAGGTGGAAGCTCTGAGAGGTGTGTCCAGGAGAGAAAAAGGAAGACCGCTGTGGTGTGCCGGGCCAGACTCACAGAGCCGGCGTGGTTCCGGGGCCGCCCCGCTCCTCAAGGGATTCTGGCCACCACTGCCCTCCAGTTCCACCGGGAGCCAACCTCTCCTACAGGACGGGTCACTGCTGCAGAGAACGCCGTCAGCCCCAGAGCGGGTGGGCCAGGGCCCAGCAGATGCTCCCTGCCTGTCCCGCCTCGGGAAGGGCACCTGCCCACCTGGCTGCAGCCTCCAAGCCAGCTGTTCCCTCCCCCCTTCAGCTGACCCAGTGCTTTTCCTTCAAGGAAGCTCAGTGACCTCTGGCTCTTGCCCTTTGCAAACACCCTCTTGCCTCAGCTCGGAGACACCAAGTCCCTGTCTCCTGGCTGGGAAGAGGGTGGCCCCTCTCTTGCGGTTGCCGTGGAAACGGGGGATTCCTGCCCACCCGCTCCAGGGAGGCGGCGAGGCTCGGGCTGACAGGCGCGCCAGGTGACTCCTGGCACAGCCGCCGGAGCCCTGAGCTGGGCTGGCCTGGAGGGGGCGGCCACCACTGCCCCGAGGACACCGGTCGGGGAGGCAGGCCCGCCCCTCTCCCCCGGGAACAGCTGCCGGGGCCGGGACCCTCCGCCGAGGGCTTCCACCCGGCCGCGCGCTCTGCGCCCGCATCAGCCATTTCTCCCGCGCACCTTCGGCAGCGCCGGCCCGGCCCCCCCCAGCGCCCAGGGCGTGTCACGCTCCCACCTTCACAGCCACCAGGAAGGGGGACCCTGAGCCGGGGCTGGTCGGGGTTCCCAGCTCGCACTCCTCCAGGAGAAACACATCTTCGTCCTCCAGAACCTTGTCCAGCAAGCCTATCGCCTCCTCTTCCTCCTCCATGGCAGCCGGAGCCCGCGGAGGGCAGACAGGAAGCGGGGTCCACGCAGCGGCGGCGGGAGGAGGGAGGAGGGAGGAGGCGGGCGGGAGGGGGGGCAGGTCTACACCCGCGCGCCCGGCCTGGGGCTCCCGACCCGGGACTGCATCCCGGACCTAGTCCAGCCCGCTCCGCCGCCGCCGCCGCCGCCTCGCGCGTCCTCGCCCGGCGAAAGGGGGAGCAAGGCCCGGGCAGCCCCTGACGCCGTGCCCGGCCCGTGGCGGAGGCGAACCCGCCGCACAGCAGCCCAGCGCCCTCCTCCGTGTCCCGCCCGGCCCCGCAGGGCCCGCCCTTCCCGGGCTCCGGGGCTCGGGCTCGCGCTCGCTCCGAACACACAGGAAACGCGCGTCGCGAGGTGGAGCCGCCCGTCCTCTGGGGTTGCGGGGCCGCGGCTGGCGGAGGCTTCTGCGGCGGAGGAGGAGCGAGGAGGCCGCGGCCGGGCCGGGGTGGGGTGGAGCGGGGAGGCCGCTTCCCAGACGCATCTTCATTCCCCGCGCGCGGCCGAGCCAGGAGCCCGGCGAGCAGGGGCGACCCCCAGAGCCACCCCGGAGTCCCCATGCGCCGGAGCCCCCTTCCGGAGGGGAGGCCCCGGCCCGCCCAGAAGCCACAGCCGCGTCCCGCCGCCGCTGGAGGAGTCAGGCTTTGCAACAGACAGGCCTGACCTGCCCCCAGGCAGGAGCGCGGCGCCACCACTGTCCTGCACAGGAGCGGTGGGCGTCCCACTCACAGGGACCAGGATCCCCCTCCTCCAAGCAGCCCCCCTCCTCCGAGCAGTCCCCCCACTCACGGACGCTACTGACACCAGCACCCCCACCTCCTCTGAGCAGCCCCCCCACTCACAGACCAGCCCCCCTACTCACAGGCGCTGCAGAGACCAGGACCCCCACCTCCTCTGAGCAGCCTCCCACCTACTCACAGGCACTGCTGAGACCAGCACCCCCACCTCCTCCAAGCAGCCCCCCCAGCCACCCCACCGCAGGGAGCCATCCTGCAAGGGGAGTGCACACAGAACCCAGGACAGGCACCATCTCCGGCCCTGCCCACTCCCAGCCAGCTTCCCCTGGCTTCTCCAATGGTTGCAGAACCCCCAACTGTGCAGGGAGTGAGGCCACATTCTGGTCCCCCTGGCCCTAGTTCCCAGATGCACATACACCTCCTTCCATGGGAGGAGGAGTCCAGAGGAGGCCCTGGGAAAAGCTCTTTTACAACCCAACGATGGAGCAAAGGTTGCAAACGGCACCCATGAGGGTGCGGGTGAGGCCTGCGGGTGAGGCCAGCCGGTGAAGCGAGCCAGGTAGGGCAGGGTGAAACCACCACTCACTCCAGCCGATGGCTGCTGGAGGAAACGCAAGCTCATGGCTGCCTGATCTCTGTTCAAAATAAGCTAAAATCTGGCTTATTAACAGGAATGCTCCTGATTTTAAAACGATGGCAAATAATTAACATTTTAAAACAACATGGTGCCGTCTAAATGAACCACACCTGTGGCCCGAGTTCAGGCCACAGCCCCCCACTCCCCCCAGAATTCTTCAGAAGCTCTGGGCTCTAGGTGGGGCTCATGCAATTCCATTGGCAGCAGAGAAGCTGCCCTCCCTGGAGAGAGGCTCCATCCTGTTGCAGAGCTGAAATACAGAGCAGGGGATTGCGGGGTGAGCCCTTGAGGGGCCCCAGGGCTAACAGCCTTTGATCAGGGAACTGTGCCACCAGGGTTCAACAGAGGCACACCCCCACCCCACCCATCTCCTTCCAGCCCCTGGTTTTCCCCTGTCCCTGCCTGGGTGGGTTATAAATAGCCAGGGCGCATCTGAAGGGCCCTTTCAGCCACAATTCCTCATTTGGTGCGGGCGGGTGAGGCTGTGGCGAGGGCTTGGGAACGACCAGGCCTGGCATTCCCCAGGGCACAAGTATGCCAGCTCAGGGCCTGGTACCACGGGTTCTTCTGTCTCCCGCCCGGCGGGCTCCAAGTGCATGGCATGGGCTGCCCACATGAGTCAGACCTGCAGGTGACACGAAGAAGGGCCTAAAACCCCACAGGCCCCTGCTGTGTTCCTTCCTCCACTCAAGAGGACATGAGGTGCCCTTGGAAGTCTGCCAGGATATCCTCGTCCCCGTTCCCCACACCTCTACACGGCATGGTGAGACTGACGCCCACTTCTTCCCAAAATCCCTGAACCCCACACAAGTGACTCCCTGAGTATCCAGGGCCTCTCTACTCCACCCTGTCCCCGGTGGCTGGAAATTCCAGTGAGTAATGAGAGTGCCCCTCCATCAGACACAGACTCCACTCACAGGCCCTCGGTGCCCCCCTGGAGGGGAAGTGACTCACCAGTCCCCACAGCTTCCCTCCCCTTCCCTGACAAATGCCCTGAGCCAGCCCTGGACCTGAGCTCCACACTCCATCTGCCTCGGCCTGGCTCCTAATGTTCTCCATAGAAGCAGCCTGCTTCAAAGGCCCCCCCAAACGGTTTATTCCAAAGCCAGAGGCCTCCCTCTCCGACTCTTTGGCCTCTGCAGTCTAGAGTTTCTCCAAGCCCTCAGCTGCCCTGTTGATGCAGGCACTGCCCCGACCACTCTCTGGTGTAGGCTGGCCCTTCATTCTCCCGCCTCCTGTAAATGTGGAGTCACTTGCTTGGGCCCAGCCTCAGCCCTCTGCTCCCTTCCCCCAGAGAAGCAGCCCTTCTCCCTTCCAGGCCAGTGGTGGCCCGCTGCCAGCTGCAGCCCTGGTGTCTTGCTGGGCTCTAGGTCTAGCACCTGCCCCGGCCACTGGGTCTCCTCACTTGGAAGCCCAGCCACGGCCCTTCCACTCCACACATCTGGACCAAAGGACCCTTCCTCCTTCTGAAACAGCTTCCCCTTCCGGGTTTCCACTTCTGTTAGTGCGGCCGCCATCTTACGAGTCTTCCTTCCCTCAACCCCCACATCCCTTTTACCAAGTCCTTCGGTTCTTCTTTTCCTTTGCCAAAGCCACCACCCCACCAAGCTTTAGAGCCTCTTACACCCACACGACCACACGTACTTCCCCACTTTGGCTCCTGATCTTGTCTGTCCATCTGTCTGTTCATTCATTCATTCATACCCAGAAAAGGCCTGGCATGGCACACATACGAGGCTGGGAGACGGGGCCCTTGCCGTTCTCAGGCTCTCGATCCGTCTGGGGTGAGGACGTGTGAACACACGAGGCAGTGTTCTCGTTTACCAGCCACCCTGGGGATGGAGGACAGTGGCACTAACGCTGCCTGAGAGTGAAAGCTTCACAGGACAGTGGCTTCTGAGTAGCATCTGGAAATAGGGAAGGGTTTCCAGGCAAAGAAGAGAAGGCCCGAAAGGAAAGGGTTAAGCAGCTTCAGCAACCCGGTTGCAGTGGCGCACCTGAAATCTCAGGTACTCAGGAGGCTGAGGTGGGAGGATCGTTTGAGCTCAAGAGTTGGAGGCTGCAATGAGCTATGATCGCACCACTGCACTCCAGCCTGGGCAACAGAGCCAGACTCTGTCTTGAGGGAGGGAGGGAGGGAGGAAGGAAGGAAGGAAGAGAGGAAGGAAGGCAGGTTAAGAAGCGCTGCTTGCTAGAGGACAGAAGATGAACTTGGAGAAGTGGGCTGAACAGCATCATGGAGGGTGAGGGGCATAAGCACACACCACACCTAGCTACTGTTTGAAATCTTTCGCAGCCACTGAGATTTCTGACACCATCAAGTCTAAATCTCAGTCTCCAATGGTTGACTCCCCACAGTCTTCCCCCACACCCACCCTCCATTCCCTCCTTCCCTGACCCAATCAGCAAGCATTTGTTAACGCCTGACCCAATCAGCAAGCATTTGTTAACGCCTGACCCAATCAGCAAGCATTTGTTAACCACCTGACCCAATCAGCAAGCATTTGTTAACGCCTGACCCAATCAGCAAGCAGTTGTTAACCGCCTGACCCAATCAGCAAGCATTTGTTAGCCGCCTGCTGTGCACCAGGCAGTGTGCTAGCATCGGAATGCAGCCATGGACAGGGAACCCCGTGCCTACCCTCGCGGAGCTGACAGTCTCAGGGACAGATTGACCTGGTGACTGACTCCCAAGGCAGTGTCAAGGGAGGGGCAAGGCCGTACTGGGGAGGGGAGCAGTGTCAGAACTCTGCAGCTGAGGTGCCACTTTTCTGGAAGGGATAACATGGAAACACCTATTGCGATTTTTTTTTTTTTTTTTTTTTTTTTTGAGACGGAGTCTCGCTCTGTCACCCAGGCTGGAGTGCAGTGGCATGATCTCAGCTCACTGCAACCTCCGCCTCCTCGGTTCAACCCATTCTTTCGCCTCAGCCTCCCAAGTAGCTGGGATTACAGGAACCCGCCACCAGGCCCGGCTAATTTTTGTATTTTTAGTAGAGATGGGGTTTCATCATGTTGGCCAGGCTGGTCTCGAACCCCTGACCTCAGGTGATCCACCCGCCTCGGCCTCCCAAAGGGCTGGGATTACAGGTGTGAGACACGGCACCTGGCCCACTGCTTATTTTTAGATTCGACTTTAAACGTCACCTCCTCCAGGGAGCCTCCCGTGACTCCCCGTTGGCTGCGTCAGATGTGCCCGCTGGTGCCCTCAGAGCCCACTCTACGTTCCCAATCGTGGCACTTCTATTTTAACTTCTTTATTTTCCTGTTACATCACTAACAATTCTAACTCTGTAGACACACATAATAAAGAAAGAGAAAGTCTCCTCTGGTTCCCTCTGACAGAGGGAGCCTCTAAGAGTTAGTTATACATTTTTCCTTATTTGTGTCCACGAATAAACTATACATATAGGCCGGGTGCAGTGGCTTACGCCTGAAATCCCAACAGTTCGGGAGGCCGAGGCAGGAGGATCACTCAAGCCCAGGAGTTTGAGACCAGCTGGGCAACATGGCAAGACCTCATCTCTATAAAAATTTTAAAAAATAATTAGCTGAGTGTGGTGGCATGCTCTTGTGGTCCCGGCTTCTTGGGAGGCTGAGGCAGGAGGATTGCTTGGGTCAGGATATTGAGGCTGCAATGAACTGTGTTTGTGCTACTGTGTTCCAGACTGGGCCACAGAGAAAGACCCTGTCTCAAAAAAAAAAAAAAAATTAGGCTGGGCGCAGTGGCTCACGCCTTTAATCCCGCACTTTGGGAGGCCGAGGCAGGTAGATCACTTGAGTTCAGGAGTTCGTGACCAGCCTGGTCTACGTGGTAAAACCCTGTCTCTACTAAAAATACAAAAATTAACCAGGAGGGGTGGCACAGGCCTGTAATCCCAGCTACTCTGGAGGATGAGGCACAAGAATTCCTTGAATCCGGGAGGCAGTGGTTGCAGTGAGCTGAGATCACACCACTGCACTCTAGTCTGGGCGACAGAGCAAGACTCTGTCTCAAAAAAAAAAAAAAAAATTATGGCCGGGCGCAGTGGCTCACACCTGTAATCCCAGCACTTTGGGAGGCTGAGGCAGGCAGATCACCTGAGGTCAGGAGTTTGAGACCATCCTGGCTAACACGGTGAAACCCCGTCTCTACTAAAAATACAAAAATTAGCTAGGCGTGGTGGTGGACGCCTGTAGTCCCAGCTACTCAGGAGGCTGAGGCAGGAGAATCGCTTGAACCCAGGAGGCGGAGGTTGCAGTGAGCCGAGATCGCGCCACTGCACTCCAGCCTGGGTGACAGAGAGAGACTCCGTCTCAAAAAAAAAAAGCAGTGGTTAGAGATGCTGGTGGGGCTGGGGAACAGACAGGAGAGAGACTATGTGAGGCACAATGACATGAGTTTAGTCTGGCTGGTTCATGCATTCATTCAGCTAATATTTACTGAGCACCTACTGTGTGCCAGGCACAGTTCTCGGCACCAGAGACTGCAATGAGCAAGTTTTGTTACAAAACCGACAAAATCTCTCTCTCGTGAGAGTTCACAATTCTAGCACGGAGTTGGTCCTGAGGCCACAGAGGTAGGCAGGGGGTCCAGGGGTCAGGTCACACAAGGCCTTGACAGCTGTGCAAAGGGAAGGGGGGCCCCATAGGCGAAGGGAAGGTGCTGGAGGATTTCAGGACAGGTGTGACAGGACATTCATCCTGCATCCCTCCTGCTGACATCAGATGACTCTTTCTAAAACACTGCTCACTCTATGCCCAGCAGGAAGCCACCAAGCCAGCCCAAACAAGAGCCGTGGGGCCCCAGCTGATGACTCACCCATCTCACTGTTGACAGTAACCTCTCAAAGGGCCTGGCACGTTCTCACTTCCAGGCCTTTAACAACGGCAGGTCCTCGGCTTGAAGCACTTTCTCCCGCCTCTTGGCTTCTCCCTGGCTCTCCCAGCTTTCCTGGCAGAAACTCAAGCCCCACCTCCAGACTGTATGAAGCTCAGTAGCTCTTCAGCCAATGGGAACTGACACCAAAGGGCAAGTGCCAGGGCAGTTGCAGCCACTAACTGCAGCCACAGATGGGACTGGATTCGTCACCTTCCAGATCACCTTGCTCCTCCCTCTGCCTCCTCTCTGTTCTAGTACAGGTCACTCCAAAATCATATACATAGTTCAACTACATAAAGCTAATGTTGGCCAGATGCAGTGGCTCACGCCTGTAATCCCAGCACTTTGGGAGGCCGAGGCGGGCAGATCACCTGAGGTCAGGAGATCAAGACCAGCCTGGCCAACGTGGTGAAACCCCGTCTCTACTAAAAATACAAAAAATTAGCCAGGCGTACTGGCGGGTGCCTGTAATCCCCGCTACTAGGGAGGCTGAGGCAGAAGAATCACTTGAACCCCGGGAGGCGGAAGCTGCAGTGAGCCGAGATCACACCACTGCACTCCAGCCTGGGTGACAGAAGGAGACTCTGTCTCAAAAAAATAAAATACATAGGCTGGGCGAGGTGGCTCACGCCTGTAATCCCAGCACTTTGGGAGGCCGAGGCGGGCGGATCACCTGAGGTTGGGAGTTCAAGACCAGCCTGGCCAACATGATGAAACCCCATCTCTACTAAAAATACAAAATTAGCCGGATGTGGTGGCCTGTAATCCCAGCTACTTGGGAGGCTGAGGCAGGAGAATCACTTGAACCCAGGAGGCGGAGGCTGCAATGAGCCGAGATTGCGCCACTGGACTCCAGCCTGGGTGACAGAGGGAGACGCCATCTCAAATAAATAAATTACATAAAATAAAATAAAGCTAATGTTGAGGAGAAGCCGGTACACAACACTGTTTATACAGTGAAACAAATAAACTAAAACAGAAAGAAAACTCCCCTGCACTCTGGATGTGAGCCCCAGCTCTGCCTCTTGCCAACTGTGTGACCTGGGCATGTCATCTAGTCTCCCTGTGCCTCCGTTTCCTCATCTATAGAATGGGGGTAATTACGGCATCAACTCTAGGGCTGCTAGCTAGCCAGAAGACGGAGATCCCAGACAGGGCGTGAGAGCTGTGGGATGAGCCAGGCCAGCCAGGTGTGGTTCATCAGGGAAGATTAACAGTATGCAGAGGTGAGCAAGATCCCAGCCAGGTGTGAATGTAGGAGGGCCAGAGAGGACGGGAGCCAGCGATGACGGGACCCAGGGTCACAACCAAGGCACTAGTCTACCTACTTCCGACTTACCTCCTTCCCAACTGGGACAAGCCCAGGAGCCACCCTGAGCCTCAGTGTCTTCATCTACTAAACGGGGGCAGCCCCATGGCTGGAGGACTTGGGTGGCAGGGCAGCCCCTGGGCTCCTAGCACAGCACCTGGCACACGGGAGGGTCCAGCTCGTGTCCTTCTCTTTGCAGCAGGGACCCAAGATCCAGGAAGGGGAGAAATGCAGGGGCCGGCTGCTGGGGGGCGGAGGCTGAAACTCGAGGAGTCCCTGAACCACACAACCCAGGTCCGGAGCAGTCAGGAGGGAGTGGAGCAGGCACCATCTCAGGAGTTCCTGGCTGCCATGCCGCCTCTTCACGCACCTACCAGCAACCTCGAATCCCAAGCCCTAAGCCTTCTGAAGAGACCAAGAAAGGGAAGAAGAGGCTGC